>NC_000010.11:1373636-1525151 GCF_000001405.40 Homo sapiens
AACTGAGCAGAAAGCAGGATGGCATGGTGGCCCTGGGAGACAGCACAGCTCCCCTGCCCTCTTGCCCTCACTGGGGCTCACACCACACTTCTTCTCCCTGGAAAATTCCTGATGTGGACTCCATGCACCTTTCCTAATGAGACCACGTGGACTCCGCGCACCTTTCCTAGTGAGACCGCGTGGACTCCGCGCACCCTTCCTAGTGAAACCGCGTGGGCTCCGCGCACCCTTCCTAGTGAAACCGCGTGGGCTCCGCGCACCCTTCCTAGTGAAACCGCGTGGGCTCCGCGCACCCTTCCTAGTGAAACCGCGTGGGCTCCGCGCACCTTTCCTAGTGAAACCGCGTGGACTCCGTGCACCTTTCCTAGTGAAACCCGCTTCCAGTGAGACTCCGTGGGTGGCATCCCGGCCACCCACGCCCTGGCATGTCCTCCTGCCTCTGCACCCCAGCCAAGCACCTCATTCTGGAGACCTCTTAGAATGAGGCATCTGTGAACTGTGGCTTCTCTGAGGTCTTTGTGGGCGGCACCAGGTTTTCAGAGAGCTGCACGTATCCTTCCACTGTAGAAATTAGAGAAAAGCAGGCAAATAATTTGGAACTATTGATAAATACCACAAGCCAGGGTCATAGGACGATCATGAGCAATTTGAAAACTCAGGGAGGCATCTGCATGGGAAAATGCAAAATGAAATGATTTCCATCCACTTCTCCCACGGGCACCCTCCAGAGCCTCATACGCACGTGACCTTGTTTGATACGGTGTCCGGAATGTGGTGCTAAGTCTAAAGTTTTAACGCATTAAAGGACAGCATCTGGGGGAGAAAGGCCAACGCTTTATATTGTCATGACTGTGGTGAAACTTTTGCTTTCCAAGTGGAAGCTGTTCCGGTTGTGCAAAGCCGGATGGCCTAGGCTGCTGTCTTTCAAAGGTGGAGAGCATGTGCGGGTGGGGCCAGGCCGGGTGGGTCTGCCCTCCCTCTGCCCGCCGTATGCAGCGCTGCGCTTGCTCCAGAGCTCAGGCATCCTCTCCTCTGGCTCCCGCCGTCCGTCCTCTGCTGGGCCGTTTGCACGCCCGGCTTCCCCTGTGCGGTATCATTGGGACCGCATGCATCACTAATGACGCTGCGTGCCTGCGGGTCAGACGGGCTCCCGGGAGTTAGTCAGGCAGCGCGCCACGCTACATTGGAAGAGATAATGTTGCTTCTGGTGAAGGTTATTCTGCGGCCGAGCAGCCCTTTCCCTCCATGAAGCCCCACTTAGGGAGGGGAAGGCAGGTGCCTGGGTTCTCCAGGGCAAGGCAGAGGGTCTGGAAGCGACAGGAGGCAGGCTGGGGCCGGGGGTGGGAGGCAGTGGCTCCTGGCATTTGTGGAGTGGACACTGGCAGGCTGGGCAGCTGCAGAAGGGCCTCCTTCAAAGACTCGTCACGCAGGACCCCATGGGGCTGGGCCTGTGGTGCATGGGACTCAGGAAGGAGCAGGTGCGGCTGTCAGGAAACCTCTTTTCAGCACAACTCCAGGGCCCAGGGCCGCCTTTGTGCCGGGCAGCCTTGGGCTCAGCTGGTCCTCGCAGAACTGGGTCGGATCCCAACCTCTGGGCGGTGGTCAGCAGAGAGGTTACAGTGGCCAGATGGCAGGGACTCATGGCTGCTCAGTGTTGGAAGAGAAAACTCCTCAGAATTAACTGCCCCAGGGCAGACACGCCTTACAAACGTGGAGTTGTTCGGTCCACTCAGCCCAGACCAGCCTGTGGGTGATGGGCTTCCAGATGCGGCTCCCAGGCCCACTTCCCGCAGGTATAGGCATGGTGTGTGCCCTGTGAGCCTGTTCCCCGCTCTGCACCCTTAGATGAAGGGCACTCAGTCCCAGACAAAAGCCATGACCCTGTGAGGTTGTGGGCATCCAGCATCCACAGGGAAGCACATGGTATTCCCCAAAGGTGCAATACACGCCAGGTGGGATGAGAACTGTCCTCGTATTGGAGCCCTTAGACACACAGACTCACAGGGTGTGAAACACGGGAGACCGGAGGAGGCAGGGCAAGGTCATGTGTGCTCCTACCACCCACCCTTGCTCCTGACATATGTGCGTGCACACATGTGCACAGATTCACACGCCACACACATGCACACACGCACACATGTGCACACACATGCACACACGCACACACACACCACACACATGCACACACACACGTGCACACACCGCACACATGCACACACATGCACATGACACACATGCATGTGAACTCCCACACCACACACGTGCACATACCACACTTGCCACACATGCACACACGTGCACAGACACACACCACACACATGCACACACACACATGTGCACACACACGCACACACACGCACATGACACATATACACGTGAACTCACACACCCCACACACGTGCACGTACCACACACCACACATACCACATGCATGAACACACATCACGACACACACACACACACGCACATCTTTTTCTACCTTCCCGTGCATCTGGATTACAAATGGATAAGGCCGCGCTGGCAATGCCACAGGGATCTAGGAAGGGAGGGCTGATTCATTTGCCGGTTTGTCTTTGAACAATCTATGAAAATAAAGTAAATAAACAGCATCTACACAAAGGGGAGCAACTAGTACATTGGTTGAAAATGAGACTCCTCAAGCATTTCAAGAGCATTTTAACTACCATAAATAACTTAAAGTTATTGTTACCTCTAAGTTTCTACCCATTAGCATGGAGGCTCTGAGAGTTACATAATGTTCACAGCCCAAGGCAGCTTGGCTGCCAGGACAGAGCCTGAAAGGCTTCCAGAAAGTCCAGAAAGTCTTGGCCTCATCAGGCCCTCTCCTCTCCTCACTGCCCAGTGTGGGGGTTCTTATGGGAGGGCAGGGGGAAGGAGAAGCTCCTACGTGGGGTGGGCACGTCCCTCTCTCAGGAATCTCACGGGCAGAGCAGTAACTTTCCCATGTAGTCAGGTGGTTTATTTCTCCAGGTCTTGGCCTCTAGTTGCTACAGAAAGGCGGCTGCTGCACCTCTGTAAGTTTGAAACCATTCGCTCCGCACCCCAAATGTCCTCTGGCCCTTGCTGAAGCTTCATTTCTTTTTCTCCTGAGGGAGACCAGCTCCAGCCGGGATCCCAGCAGCTCCAGGTGTGGAAGAGGAGGAAACAGTGAACTTCCCCTTCCCACGTGTTTCCAGGTCCACACGTCAGGCTCAGCTTTGGTGGGGCAGGGGGGTGGGTGGGGGGGGTTGTGTGCTCCTGGGGTGTGTGTGTGCGCATGTGCTTGTGTGCTCCTGGGGTGTGTGTGCGCTCCTGGGGTGTGTTTGTGTGCACCCCTGGGGTGTGTGTGTGTGGTGCGTCCCTGGGGTGTGTGTGTTTGTGTGTGCTCCTGGGGTGTGTGTGTGCGCATGTGCTTGTGTGCTCCTGGGGTGTGTGTGCGCTCCTGGGGTGTGTGTGTTTGTGTGCACCCCTGGGATGTGTGTGTGCGGTGCGTCCCTGGGGTGTGTGTGTTTGTGTGTGCTCCTGGGGTGTGTGTGTGCGCCTCTGGGGTGTGTGCTCCTGGGGTGTGTGCGTTTGTGTGCGCCCCTGGGGTGTGTTTGTGTGCGCCCCTGGGGTGTGTGTGTTTGTGTGTGCCCCTGGGGTGTGTGTATGTGCGTGTGCTCCTGGGGTGTGTGTGCACACATGCACATGCCTGGTGTGTGCTCCTGGGGTGTGTGTGTTTGTGCTCCTGGGGTGTGTGTGCACATGTGCATGTGCGCTCCTGGGTTGTGTGTGCACACATGCACATGCCTGGTGTATGCTCCTGGGGTGTGCATATGTGTGTGTGTGCTCCTGGGGTGTGTGTGCGCATGTGTGTGTGCGCTCCTGGGGTGTGTGTTTGTGTGTGCTCCTGGGGTGTGTGTGCACACGTGCACATGTCTGGTGTGTGCTTTTCACTTTCTCTATCCCAGATTTCAGAAGTAGTGATCAATAAATGGACTCATCTGGAAATTTTCCAGTTTGGGTCACCAGAGAACAGAAGCAACCTGTGTCAAAGCTTAGCTTGAATCTCAAGCTGTGCTAGAGAGGGAGCACAGAGTCTGGGCCCAGCCCTCTCTAGTGCCGGCACACCCTCCTCCTAACCCCCTCCTTCCACGTCTAGAAGAGAAGGGGTCCAAAAGAGGGCATTGACCTTCGCTCTGGTCCTGACACTCAAAGGCTGTGATGCTACTTTTGCAGAACAACCTCCATTTCCAGTATAGTTAATTATTATGCTGTCTGGGAAGGGCTGTGTTTCCCACGCTGATGGCAAAGTACACGGCTCCCCTTGCAGACCCCTCCCACTGCCTCTTGTTGGTCTGACCAGCAATCCCAGGGTCACCTCGCCTCCTCCCCATCCCGTGACAACAGGCGTGTGCTGACCTCTTCCTGGTTGAAAAAGGAGCCATTTGCCAGGTGGTGTTAAAATTTGAGGAGCTGTTCACATGGTGTGGAATGTCTCGTCTTCTTTGTTAAATGCCTGACAATTTGCTGTGAACCAGAGGCCAGCTCCTGCAGCCACACACTCCTGGATCCTCACCCCTGCAGTCTGCTCCCGAGATGCCGCTCAGATCCCTTTCCTAAACCAGCCTGGTGCCATCCTGAGGACACTGCTTGGCCCCTTTCCAGTTTCATGTGCCAGAAATATTTGCACGGTGTAGGGGGGCTCCTACCCAGCCCTTTCCTTGTTAAATACTTGTACAAACCGCGCTCTAAGACACCGTGACCATTTTTCTTTCTGGTCTGATGGAAAAACAAAGGAAGGAGAGGAGAGAATAGTCCAAGAAAACTGGTTAATTTCTTGGAATAATTTCTCAGTCCCAGAGACATTACTGACACTTTCCTGCCCTTTAGGTAAGGAAGGGATGCCAGGTGAGGATGGGACTGCAGGTGCGGGTAAGGTTCCAGGTGAGGATAAGATTCCAGGTTAGGATGGAACTGCAGGTGAGGATGGGACTGAAGATGAGAATGGGACCACAGGTGAGGATGAGACTGCAGGTGTGGGTAAGACTCCAGGTGCGGGTGGGACCACAGGTGAGGATGACACTGAAAGTGAGGATGGGACCACAGGTGAGGATGAGACTGCAGGCAAGGGTGGGACTGCAGGTTACAGTAGGACTCCAGGTAAGGATAGGACCTCAGATGAAGACAGGATTGTAGGTGGAGATAGGATTCTGGGTGAGGACAGGACCTCAAATAAGAAAAGGATTCCAGCTGAGGACAGAATTGCAGGTGTGGGTGGGGTTGCATGGAAGATGGGGATTCTGTGGAGGAATGAGAGCAGATACTGTCTCTCCAGGTAAGACCAAACAGACCCTCCCAGATGACCCCAGGTATCTCAGGTTTTGGGGACTGCAGGGGACCCCTGCACAAAGGATACAGGGGCCTTTGTGTACTTCGGGGAAGGGAAGTTGCTTACTGAGGGTGTCGTCATCCTCCGTGTTTGTGATGCCAGGACTCAGGTGCTTGAAAGGAGCGAGGAAGGTTGACAATATGCTTACTTTATCTGGAAAGAAAAGAACAGGAAATGCACTTTTGACATGGAGTTGCGGAAAAACTCAATGCTTTTATAAGTTCTTATTACTGAATGTTGGACAAGGGAGGTGGAGAGGTCACTTTGGTTTCAGCCATTTCATTCTGGTTCAGTCTTTTATTGAATATCTGACAGCATTTTATCAAATTCCTCTCTCCACTCAATTTAAAACTCTACGATTTCCTTCTTTCTCCTTCTCTTATTTTGGCATCCCCCTTCATCTTGCCCATGTCCCTTAAAACTTGCTATCTCCAGGGCGACAACCTTGCATCTGTTTACAAAATCCTGGGTAGGGCAGAGCCTTCTGTCGAGATCATTTCACAGAGATGGGCTAAAACAAGTAAAACAATCTCACAATTAAAAGAGAATGGTGCCAATAAAGCCAAGACTATCTTTTCCTATTAGTGCAGAATTTGCTTTCTGGGCTTGACATGCATTAAAAATAAAGGACCTGTCACTTAGCGGGTGTTTGGCAGAAGTAGAGGAGGGGAGGAGGGAGCTAGCGGTGTGGGGCAGAGCATGCACAGTCCTCCCGGAAACGGCCAAGCGTCCTCAACGCGGTGGCTGGAATTCCAGGGACTGCCTCTGCCTGAAGCCTGTGGCCAGGTAAGCAAAGGCCAAGCAGGTCCTGCCTCCTGGGTCCCTACCACAGTGAGTGCAGCACAGCTGTGGAAATAGATCCAACCAGGAGATGCCGCTCTTCACCAATAAAGTATGCTTTTTTACTCCCATGGTCTCAGCAATTTATTTCATCAATAGCGAGATTAAGGAATGGTGGGTTTGAGGTATGATTGAGAGAAATAAAAATGACTAATAAAGGGATCCAAAAGAAAAGCTCCTTAATTTGGAGATTTCCACCACCTAAATGAAGCCACCGCACTTGGGAGTATTGGTTCACACGGCAGAACTCACTGCACTGCAGAGGAGACGCCAACAGAGACACAGCACAGGGATCCCCTGGCTCCCAGACATCCTCCAGCCCGCACGGTTCACATGTGCCATTATGAACCTGGACCACACTGATTAAGACGCCCCAGGTGGAAATGTCAGCGTTGCTCATCCAACACGGTGCAGAGCGCGACAGAAGCATGTCCTAGCATCCCTGCTAAGTTCCAGGGCACTGGCTGTGGTATTGGCTACTTTGCTAAGTGGGATTCTTCCCTCTGTTTTGGAAGCTGTGGATATCCGCGGACGGGATTTCCCAGGAGGTCACTGAGTTTACATCACCCTGTAACAAGGACGGCTGTCCACAGGTGCCCCACCGTGGCACTGTATACCTCCTTCAGTGTGATTTCTCAAGAAAACATGAACTGCTGGTTTCATCTGCCCTTGGCCTTCAGGCGTCCAGACTCAGCCTGAAACTGGCTCTTTTTCTTTTGAGGCTGAGCCTGTTTTCTCCTTAGCCAAGATTTCCAGAGTCCAGGAGAGTTCCCATTGAAATTCATTCGGGAGCCTGTTAACAGCTGTTGTTTCCAGTAGGGACGGGCAACAGAGAGAACAATAAATAACTCAAATATAAAATGCCTTTACCTTCTTTGTTCTACCGAACAAGAATAAACCAGGGAAGGGTTTGCTCTCCTAAACCCTTGCAGCCGAAGCTAATTTACTACCAGAGAATGAAATATCTTGCTTGAATTATAATTTCATTAAGGGAGTCCAATAATGTTACACTAAGAGTGTGAAGCTCAAATGATTCAGTCTGGAGGATCTCAAGATGAAATTACATTTTTAATAAAGTAGGGCTACCAGCCAAACACTCACAAAAATGCACTAAACTATTTCAGACTTTACTTTAGCAAAATTGTAAGATATTTAAGGATTGTTTTAGATCCATCAAAGTTGTTACTTTCTGATGTTGTTAGATTTATCAAATAAAAATTCAGGACATCCAGTTAAAATTGAGTTTTAGATAAACAATAGACAATTTTTTCATATATAGTCATTTCTAATATTGTGTGGGACACACACATATATATTTGTGCATATACACACACACACACACACACACATATATACTTAAAAACCTTATTCATGGTTTGTCTGAAATTCAGTGGAAGGCAAAGGACTTCAATAGACATTTCTCCAAGGAAGATGTACTAATGTCAATAAGCACATGGAAATGTAATCAACATCACTAATCATTAGGGAAGTGCAAATCCAAACCACAATGAAATACCTCCTCACACCCATTAGGATGTTTATTAGAAAAACAAAGCAAAGCCAGAAGATAATGTGTTGGTGAGGACATGGGGAAATGAGAGCCCTCCGGGAATGTAAAATGGGGGAACTGGCAGTTCTGCCTGCTGGCGGGTCAATGCCCAAATAATGGAAACTCAAGGAGAGATCTGCATCCTCATATCCTCGGCAGCATCGTGCACCAGAGCCCAGAGGTGGAAGCAACTCAAGTGTCCTTCAGTGGATGAGTGGATAAGTGAAATGCGGTACAGCCAAGCAACAGATTAGGCAGCCTTAAAAAAAGGGAAATCCTGCCATTTGCAACCAGTGTGCATGAAACTGGAGGACCTCATCCTAAGTGAAATGTCAGGCATAGAAAGACAAATACTAGTGCATGGTCTCACTCACACGTGGAATCTAAAAAAGTTGAATTCACCGAAGCAGAGAGCAGCATGGTGCTGCCAGGGTCCATGGGGTGAGGGGAGAAAGGAGAGAGTGAGGAGGTGTTGGTCTAGGGTACAAACTTCCAGTGATAGGATGAATGAGTTTTGGAGTCTTAATGTGCAGCATGGGGACTCTGGCTAATAACATGTATTGCCCACTTGAAATGGGATAAAAGAGTGGATTTTAAGCATCCTCATCCCCCACAATGGTAACTATGGCTGGTGACAGATGTGTTAATTAATTTTTGGTGATCGTTACCCAATGTATATATCAATTCATCGCATTGTACACCTTGAATATATTCAACTTTTATTTGTCAAATAAACATTTTAAAATTAAAATAAATATGGAAAAAACAATGGCAAAACAAAATCAAATGTAACTGGGCATCCTGTATTTTCTCTGACACTCCTAGTTATGCCTAACCAACTTCTCTTTCCACGAGTGCAGTGGACTTCAGATTTCATGGGACAGCTTGAGCAACCAAACTGAAGCAAAGGAAACAGAAGGCCAGCAGAATTGCTAACACTTATTTATTGCTAACAAGTACACCTGAAATTCCAACTATGATCTGCAATCACCGTGAAGGCACATAAGCTCTGGGAGAGAAGCAATTATTTCCAAGAAAGGGCAGACCGCATCTTTAGAGTGTTCTTAGAAAAGAGGTGAAGAATTACATTTTTAATATAGAAAAAGTACAACAGAAGTTCTTTGGCATCAGGGCCTCTCTTTGTGGTTTCCTCGGAACTCATTGTCCATTTGGGATCTGATGTATATTCTGTTAGTTCAATACGAGTGGAACTCTGATATTCAGCTAATTCGATTTTTTGCATGTTTCTCATTGTCATCTTTTGGAAATCTGGTTTTACTCAAGCTTCTGATGAAAAAAGGATGCCATACTTTTTTTTTTTTTTTGCCTCAGTTCTGGACCTTCGGAGTGTGCCAGGAGAAGCTGCATCACAGGGCTCCCCACGCTACCGCCGCCTCCCCACCCTCTGGGTAATGCCTAGAAGAGGCGGCTGGGCTGGCCAGGTGTTACTCTAGAAACGTCAGGGGTCGGCTGGGCACTCCCCACTCCTCAGCTGCTCACATCCTGGGTTCTTGAGCTCGGGCTCCCATCATCGAATATGGACCAGCTGGAAACTGACCTGGGGGACGCAGTGGCCTGGGGCCGGCCCTGGTCTAAGAGTCAAGAGTCTTTTTCAGGAAAGGTCTGATGGCCGTTTTTAATGTACGACTTGTAAGTTCCAGGACACTTGCTTTATAAACCTTGTTACTCACTGTGGAATAAATGGCATTTACCTGAAGCAATTTTATGTATTTTAGGGGGCATCTGGGTGCACATCTGGAGGGCACAGCAGCCCTTGCCTGGAACCACGTGCAGCCATGAAGTGCAGTTGGCATCTGCAACACTGAGGTTCTGAGGTTATTGTCGGTTTTTCATATTACGACCGTTTGGGAGAATTACTACACTGTCAGGGCTGAGGGAAAGAGATACTCACTGGAATAATTTTTAGGTATTTTCAGATTTCCTAATCATCTTGTTTAGAAACAAAATGTCCTGAGTTAATAGTTTACTTATTGTTTCTTGTTAACATCTTGGGGTGAGGATTTTCCTTGAGTATGATTAAAAAAAAAAAAGCGATGGCTTATTTTCCCTGAAAGGCACATGTGGATATGCCAGCAGTTTTTCATGCAATATCAGGAATTCATGAGTCCCCTGAATTCATCGCCTTCCCCAGAATGCTTGATATGAATTATCAGGCTTTAAGAACATGTGGTTGAAGTATTAGGTGTTAGTGTACTTTGAAAATCAAAATAACTGCACATACTGAGGATACCTGGTTACTTGGTTATTAGTCACACTGCATAGTCACTGGGACACGTCTTAGCTTTCTTGATGTATTTATTCTGCAAAGAATCTGAGACATTGAGAAGTTAGCGGATGTGCCCAGGACTATCTATAAGGTCCTCAGCACGTCCCAGGCTTCCAGCCTACAGTTGCCTTCCACACTGAGCAAAGGCTGCTTAAGGAGATCCTCATTTTCCTATCTTTTTCTGCCCGAGTAAAGTTTATCCTTGTAGTGGCTGCTGAATTTTCTGGATTTTTCTTCCTTGCCTTTGCCTTTGTTAAATTTTATTGAACCTTCTATGTTTCATTTATCCTATCTTTAAGATCAGAACAGCATCTTTGTTTCTCGGGCCACAAAAGGAAGAATAGTGCAATAAATAGTTTTTAATTCAAGTATGAAAAGCATTTAAATTTAGGGTCTGGTTAATATTTTGTAGAAAAATCAGATGGACTCTCCTCTCTGCAGAAGTAATCACATACGATGTGTTCATAAACAAGTTACTGGGGTTGGCTAAAAGCCCCAGGGATAGACGGTGCAGAGGAACATTCCCTCATTGTGAAGAAGGAGAGCCAGTTCTCTACGCTTCCCGGTCCAAGGACCGTGACTCAACACCATTAGCAGAGTGGGGCACAGTGAGTTTTCAGTTCTGTCTTACCAAATTCTTTCTGATCTATTGAAACCAAAAAGGGAAATGGTAAGTGCATTATAGCCTCCTCCAAAGTGAGTCTGGAGAAGACAGGAGTGTGTGAAGTGATCTTGAGCCCACATCACAGTCCTAGAAAGGGCAGGAAGGAAGGCTTTGCTGGCCGTGAATGGACAAGCCTCTGGCCAGGATGAGGGAGTTGCAGCTCACCAGCTGTCTCATTGTAAACAACAGCAAAACTGGACAAAGTCTATGAAACAACCGTTTTCAGAGTTTGGATGCCAGGCAGTGCGTGACCATTGTTCCTGAGAAAAGGAAAGCATGAGAGTGCACCCCACAGCTCCACAACTTCCCACCTGGAAGCTCTTTTCAGCAGTAGAAAAGTGGACCTGGAGAAGAACACAGCAGCACTGATAAGTTGAGAAGGCAAAAACCAAAGTTTGCACTGCTGAGACAACTAGAATTTGAGGGCAGAAGGAAGCTGCTTCAGAGATCTGGTGGGGCCACTGCTGGATTTGGTTGAGACTCAGCCCCACATGAGAAGGAGAGACTCAGATTTCACAGAGAGCAGTGGCTGGGGACCTGCGAGCTGAATGAAAATTCAAATGATGGCACAATGCTGAAAGTCTGGCATTCTGATCAGGCGGAGTCATAGATCACTGAAGAGCTAGGATTCAGCTGGGATTGTAAAAAGGTCATGTTTTAGGACTAGGAATACTCTAGTCCTAGATTAAGAACTGCCGTGAACATGCGCTAACAAAGACTTAAAACAAGCTTTGAAATCATCTAGTTGATCATTTCAACTAGAAACTGGTCAGTAATAAACTACCCTTGGTCAGTAATAATCTACCTGCTAGAAGAAAACTCAAGGAACACCGTGAAATCCATATTCTGAACAACATGGTATCCACAAAGCCCAGCAAATAATGATAGAGTAATAGTAATGACATTGCTAGAAGTGAGAAGCAGCAGGAGAATATGACCAATCATCAGAAAAAAATATAGTCGAAGTAAAAAGATCTAATGATGCTGAAATTAGCAGATAAGGACATTAAATAGATGTTAGAAATATTTTTAAGAATTTAAAAATAAAGGGGATATGATAAGTAAATAGATGGGGAATCTTGGTAGAGAAATGGAAACTATATAAATAAAACAAAAATTCTCAAGCTCAAAAACATAACATTTGAAATGAAAAAATTTACTGGATGGGTTTCACATTGGATATGTCACTTTGCAAAACATATCAGTAAATTTGAAGGCAGATCAATAGAAACAATCAAAACTAAGCACAGGGAGAAATAGAAAAGGTGAAAAAAGTGACAGACTCAACGATCTGTTGGACAATATAAAGCAGTCTAACTTATGTATAATTGGAATTCAAGAAAAAAATGGAAAAACTGTTAAGGTAGAAAATATACTTTAAATAATAGTTTAAAAGTTTTCAATTCTTTTAGACACATCAAATCACAGATCCAAGTATCTCAATCAAACTTACATAGAATAAATCTGAAGAAGACTGTACCAATCAGCACAGCCAGATTCCTGAAAACAAAAGATAGGGAAAGTATTTTCAAAGTAGCCAGAGAAACAGGACATCTTACATACAGAGCAACTGCAATGAGAATGACAGAATACAAATCAAAAATTTGCTAAAAGACTATTAACTCTTTAAATACAAGATAATGACAGTGTACTGTAATGTTTATTGTATATTTAGAAAATATATAAAAAGAGCAGCACACACCTTGGGATGGGGTAAATATAATTATTCTGTTGCAAGTTTCTTCCTTTGATCATGAGGTAGTTGGCTATGATAAGTTAAACATGCATGCTTTAATCTCTAGATCAGTCACTAAAAATAATACAAAGAGGTATAGCTAAAAAGTCAACAGAGAAGATAAAATAGAATACTAAAAAAGATTGATTTGTTGAAAAAGGCAAAGAAAGAGAAACAAAAAAATTGAATAAACAGAAAAAAATTAGCAATATGGTACACTTAAATCCAAATATATCAGTAATTACATTAAATGTAAATGGACTGAGTACTCCAATTAAAATGCAGAGATATTCAAATTGTATTTAAAAAACAAAACTTATATTTTTTATTGCTACAAAAACTTACTTCAAGTATAAAAATATAGACAGGTTAAAAGTCAAATGACTGAAAAAGATACATCATGTAAATGCTTATTTTAAGAAAGATGGAATGGCTATGTTAACAATAGACACAGTAGTTTTCAAAATATGAAATATTGCCAGGGATTAAGAAAGACATATCACAATGATCAAGTCATCAAGATAATATAATACTTGTTGGTGTTTATGCACTCAACAGAGTTTTAAACAACATGAATAAAAAACTAGCAAAATGAAGGAGGGTAGAAACATACATAATGCTAGTTTGAGATTTTAACATTCCTCCCCTAGTTACTGATAGAACAAGTAGTGAGAAAAAGGTGGTATAGAACAAAAAATTAGAAGAACTCTAACAGCTAACTTGACCTAAGTTACATTTATAGAACACTGTATAGAGTATTTGCTGAGATGGACTGTACACTACAAAATAAAAAAGGTCTCAATAAATTTTATAGGTTTGAGATCATAAAAGTATATTTTCTGGCCACAATATAGTTATGTTAAATATATGTAACAAAAAGATATATGGAAAATCTGTATATACTCAGAAATTAAGTATCACCATTGTAAGTGACCCAAGAGTTAAAAGAGAAATCACAGGAAAATTAAAGCCTCTTTATTCTCAGTGATAATGAAAGTATAACATAACACAATTTGTGAAACATAGTTAAAGCAATGCTGAGAGACATATTTTAGCTCTAAGTTTATGCTTATATTAGAAACAAAGAAACGTCCAACATTATCTAAGCTTCCACTGTCAGAAGCTAAAAAAAGAGAGTACATCAAACCAAAGTTGTTAGAGGAAGAAACTACTAAAATTAATAGTAGGAGTCAAAATAGGAAGTGGAAAAAAATAGGGAAAAAACCCTAATGAAGCAAAAAAATTGGCTCCTTGAATAGGTTTGATAAATCTCAAGTTAGATTAATCATGAAAAAGGAGAAAAAAACTTCCATGTTTTCTAATTAGAAATAAATGAGGGGATCTTACTATAGTTCCTGCAGTCATTAAATAAGAATATGGGAATAATGTAAACTATTGTATGCTAGTCAGTGAAAAACATATTTGCAATGGGAACATTCTTTGAAAGGCAAAAACTGTCAAAGTTCACTGATGGAGAAGCAGAAAACCAGAAGAGTGCAATATATATTAAGTAAATTTAATTCATAGTAAAAACAACCTCACATGTAAACTAGGCTCAGAGAGCTCCCTCTGGTGAACTGCAAGAAATATTTAAAGAAGAAATTATACCAATTCTGTGCAAAATTTTCTAGAAAAATGGAAGGGGGTGGACTATCAAAATTATTTGATGAGGCCAATGTTAATCTAAAGCCAAAACCAATCAATGATGTTATAAGAAAAAAAACCTACAGACCCATGGTCCTCACGAGCAGATGAGTTTTTAACAAGATATTAGCAAATCAAGTTCATCCCTATATAAAAATGTTAATGTATCATGAACCAGTGTGGTTCATCCTGGAATGCAAGATTGGTTTACAGTTTGAAAATCAATCAATGTAATTCACAACCTTAACATAATAAAGGGGGAAAAATAATAGTATCTTAAAAGATGCAGAAAAAACATTTGAGAAAGACATGCCAAACCTCCACACTCATATTTACAAGCTATTGCTAAAATAAGTTAAAGATAAATAAATAGAAAGATACACCATTTTCACAGAATTCAAGATTCAATATTGTTGTAATATCAATTGTCTCCTAATTTATCTATAGATACAAAACCCATTCTTCATGAAAATTCTCACCACACAAAGGACTAGAAGAAAATTTCCTCAAATTGATACAGGACATATCCAAAAGTTATAACTAGTATTATATTTAATGACGAAAGAGTGAATGATTTCCTTGTGGTACTGGGAACAAGGCAGGGATGTCTGCCTTCACCACTTCTATTCAACATTGGACAGAGGTCTTAGTTAGTGTCATAAGGCCAGAAAATAAAAGTCATAGAGATTGGAAAGGAAGTAGAACTGACTTTATCCTCATGGCATGATCATATATGTAGAAATTCCTAAGGAAAGATGAAAACAACTACCAGAAATAATAAGTGAATTCAGCAAGGTCACAGGACAGAACTCCAATACACAAAAGTCTACATGCTTCTATGTACCAGTAATGAAAAAGTGGAAAATTAAATTAATAAACAATACTGTTTGGACAAAAAGGTATAAAATACTTAGGTATAATCTGAAGAAAAAAAAAGACATGCCAAACCTCTACACTCACATTTACAAACAATTGCTAAAATAAGTTTAAAAAGACCTCAATAAATAGAAATGTATGCCATTTTCATAGAATCTAAGGTTCCATATTGTTACAATATCAACTGTCCCCTAATTTTTCTATAGATATGATTCGATCTCAATCAGTACTCTTGTTGAAATTGAAAGATAATTTTGAAGTTTATATGGAAATGCAAAAGACCCAGAATAGTCGAAACAATATTGATACTGCAGAACAAATACAATGTAGTAATGGCGTAAGGCTAGATAAATACCAGTGGAACAAAAGGGGAAGTCTAGGAATAGAATCAAGTCTGTATGATCAACTGATTTTCAACAAAGGTACCAAAGCAAGTTGATGAAGAAAGTCTTTTTAATAAATAGTTCTAAGAAACTAGACAACATATTGAAAAAAATGATTCTGAGCCCTACCTCACATCATATGTGAAAATGATCACAAGATGGATCACAGACCTAAATGAAAAAGCTAAAACTATAAATTTTTAAGAAGAAAATTGAGGAGATTACTTTCATGGTTTTCATTTAGGCAAGGATTTCTTAGCTAGGAGATAGAAAGCACTAACTACAAAAGAAAAAAATGACAAATTAGTTTTCATCAAATTGGAAAAATTCAGCTTGTTGAAATACACTGTTGATTAAGCTAAAAGGAATGGATAGATTGGGATGATATATTTACAATCAAGATGACTGTTTTGTATCCAGAATATAAAAACTCTTGCAACTTAATAATAAAGGATAACAAATCTCCACTTATAAAAAGTGGGCAACATACTTGAACAGAAACTTCACTGTGGAAGACACTACAAAGACATACAAATAGCCAATAAGCACTTCCAAAAGACCAGCCTGGGCCACATGGTAAAACCCCATCTCTACAAAAAATACAAAAATTAGCTGGGTGTGGTGGTGGGTACCTATAATCCCTGCTACTTGGGAGGCTAAGGTTCAAGAATCGATTGAACCGGGGAGGCAGAGGTTGCAGTGAGCTGAGATCGTGCCACCGCACTCCAGCCTGGGTGACAGGCAGAGTGAGACTCTGACTCAAAAATAAATAAATAAATAAATAAATAAATAAATAAATAATAAATAAAAAATAAAGGCTGACGGCGCTACATGTTTACATGTCAGTAACCATGTGGAAAATCAGAGCTCATCCCCTGGTATAGTAACTTCAAGAAACTTTGGAAAATGTCTTGGTTGTTAAACATACACCTTTCCTACGAATTACCACCTCCACTTCTAGATATTTAACCAAGATAAATGAAATGTATATGTTCACAAAAAGACTCACATAGGGATATTTATTCAAACTATTCGTCACAGCTTAAAATGGGAGATATTCCAAATGCCCATCAAGAGAAGAATGGATACATTAATTGTGGTGCATTTATACAATGAATTACTCTTCAGTAAAACAAAACAAAATGAGTGAAATATTAAAATTTTACATTATGATATAGATGGATTTCAAAAGCATTATGCTGAGCAAAAAAGTCTGGGCACAAAAAGGAATATGCAGTGTGGTTCCATTTACATAAAGTTCCAGGAGGCTTTCAGCACTCCGTGGAGAAAGCAGAGCATGGGCATCTCTGAAGGGTGCTTGTAGATTGTGGGGAAGAGGCGGAAGTGGGCTTCTGCTGCTGAAATGAAAAGATGCTGTATTTAGATGGGGCATGTGCTACATGTGTGTCTGCATTTGTCATTGGACTGTAACATGTGCGGTTTGTACATTTTGCTGTATGTAAATTATACTTCCATTATTAAAAACAATTAAAAACCAAAAATCATGACTGGACAAGAAAATAAATGATGTAAAGCAAGCCTCAAAGAATTGTTGAATCTATAAAGAAGAAAATTGAGGATGATAGATATTAAATGAAGATCTCTGCTAGGAAAGCATATCTGCTTATGCCTCTACTTATCGGACTTTGGGTTTCCGTTTTCTTTTTTATTCCCCCTATTTTATAGATGTGAAAGCTCAAATATATTAAAAAGCCTTAGACATTGCAATAAGAAAAATTACAGTCTCAAAGACAAAGTCCTTCAGAGCCAACTTTGGATTTGCAGATCCTCTGCATCTACATAAAGTGAAGGGGGAGTAACCAGTGAGGGGCAAACAAGAGCTCCAGAAAGCTGCAAGCTGGGATCAGAACTGTGAGCCTCAGGCCTGAAGGAAATAATGTATACAGTGGTCCATTTCCAAGACAACGTGCCTTAAATCGGCTTAGGTCAGCAAACTACAGAAAAAACAGGATATACTAGGCCCTTGCTTGGATAGCCAACACCTGCTTTTTGGCTCACCCCCTGCCCCCTTAGTTGCCCTCACCTGAACCAAAGAAGTTTAGTCTAAGATGAAAGTTTACTAGCCTGCGAAATAGCTCATTTTGTCTGTTCTTTTCAGCCTGCCCAGCTACTTAGGTCACAAGTCAAATACCTGAAGAGCCCCTGAGCTGACTGGGATTGCAATGCATTGTGGGTTGCAATAAAATGCAGTAAGACAACCCTAAAGAAAACACCTAAAGCTCCTGCCCAACAACCAATAGGCGATGTCTGGGAAGACTGTGACCCCCCCATAGTGCTCAGCCTATGAGGGACTGGGGGAGGGACCTGTGCACTAGGGGATAAATTGCTTGTTGAAACTGTGCTAGGTGTGCCTGCCCATCAGACACCTGATCTTGCAAGCCCATCATTAAAAGACTCACTATCGCTGTTCTCCGGGTCTCTAAGTCCATTCTTTGGGTTTGGACAAGTGAGTTTGTTTCTCACAGGCCCAACCACACATGCCTTGGTGGTCTCTGAGGCCTCAGTTTACCCACGATGATTTGAGGGACTGTGAAAAGATCAATGTTTTTGGAGTCCACTTTGTGGATTGAAACTCTGTTTCATTTACAAACAGTTTATCAAACAATTTTTAGCAAGTATGATGAAAACTTAAAAACATCTTTTGGTGCGTGATGTTATGTCAGTTATCTGGAAACTTATTCATGTGAAATAACACATTGGCTGGAAGTTTCAATAAAAATGATAATAAAATGATAACTGCCAGGATGTCTAAGAATTGGATTTTTTTTTTTTTTTTTTTTTTTTGTGAGACACAGTTTCACTCTGTCACCCAGGCTGGAGTGCAGTGGTGTGATCTTGGTTCACTGCAGCCTCAACCTCCTGGGCTCAAGCGATCATCCCACCTCAGCCTCCTGAATAGCTGGTGCCCACCACCATGCCTGGTTAATTTTTATATTTTTTGTAGAGATGAGGTTTTGACATGTTGCCCAAGCTGGTCTCAAACTCCTGAGCTCAAGCAATCTGCCTGCCTCACCCTCCCAAAGTGCTGGGATTACAGGTGTGAGCCCCCGTGCCTGGTCAGAATTTGATCTAATACTCTACCTCCTAAAAAGCACTAAATATTTCATAGGATAGGCTATTAAAAATACATAAATCGAGCACTTTGAGTCTGTCCTTATTTCAAAAATTGAAAGTGAGGTTTGCACTTCTGCCTTTCCCTTTTGTGGGCCATGTCCATTCCACATCTTGCAAAGCTCTGCACTCCTGAACAGTTACATAACCGGGATTGGGGCTGACAGTTGGAGTCCACAGAACTCTCTTGGTGCCCTCAGGCTACAATACTTCAGCCTCTGTTACAAGTTTCCTTCTCATGTTTTCCTTTTGCCAAAACACGCTCTGACAGATGGCCTCCCTCAGGCTTGACCCACTTTCTCCATAGCTGTATATTCGAACAGAATACAGGTATGTCTTCAAATGGATGCACTTCTATCTAAACACAAAAGCAAATCAGTGTGGACAGGTGGAATGCCCTGAGAAGCAAGGGGATGATTAACCTCCACGCAGGCAGGAGGAGGAGTAACATTGCAGACGAAAGGCAAGGAGTTCGTCTCACAGGTTTTTAGGAGGAACATGGGTTTTACAACGCCATCTCCAAGCTCCCGTCCTATGAACAACACAGGGAGCTCAGGCAACTTTTAAAGAGATTCTGGGTCTGCACTGTGTTTTGTAAAACACGAGAAGGTTTGATTCTTTTGGTGAATGTTTCCTGGCAATTTCAGAGATGGATTCATAGGTTTGGTCCTGAAAGCGTCCAGTTAAAACGGAGGTGGCCTGCGGTGTCAGCCACATGTTCACTGTCATGGGCTGAATGATATCCTACAAGAATTCATGCTGAAGTCTAACCCCCCAGTCCCTCAGAATGTGACCGTATTTGGAGAGAGTTTCTTTAAAGAGGTAATTGTGTTCAAAAAAAAACATACAACTCCTAATTTCCTTCTCAAAGTCCCCACATTTGTAGGAAGTAGTCTCTCTGTGAAAGTGGCAGTGAGCCTCTGGCAGTGACAGGAGCTCCTAGTAGCTGTGCATGTAGAAACATCACTTCCAACTCATAGGGCTCAAAGCAGGGCTAGCAACTAGTCGCACAGCCAAATTTGAGCTATTGGTGGAATGTGTCCATTTTTCATGGTTTAATTTCTTCTTCTCTCTGTTGGTTAAAATGTTTCTAGTATTTTTTAGTTTTAATTTTTGTGGGTACATAGTAGGTGCATCTATTTATGGGACACATGAGATGTTTTGATACAGGCGTGCAATGCATAACAATCATATCATGGAAAACGTGGTATCCATCCCCTCAAGCATTTATCCTTTGTGTTACAAATAATCCGATTATACTCAGTTATTTTAAAATGCACAATTACATTATTATTGGCTCTATTCATCCTGTTGTGCTATCAAAAACTAGGTCTTTTTCATTCTTCCCAGTTATTTTTTGTGGGTACGCATTAGCCATCACCACCTTCCCCATCTCATGGTTTAATTTCTAAGGCATTTTGTTCTCTTACCAGGTAGCTTTCCTCAAAGCCAGGGCACTGGGACATTCCTGTGTCAACACTGGGACCTGTGACAGGGCACGGTTTTCACAGCGACTATGGTACTGTGCACAGTCTCAAAGACCACCCAGGCCACGCGTTATGCACCACGCTCCAGCTAACCTTGGAAAAAGCTGAAACGCCAACACAGACACACACCAGATTGTTCTGTGTGCCCTTCCAGATGTGAGCGGTGGGCACAGATACAGGTGGTCCTTCAAATGATTGATGGGAAAAGGTGACTCCTTGCAAGAAAGTATATTTAAATTAGGAAAATAGTCTAAAGGTGTGTGTTCACACTTCACAAGGAGAAACTCACAGCTTTCCAAAGGATTAGCCAAGGCTCAGCCAAATTTGCAAAGTTCTAGACATGAGTGCTTCTCCTGGGGGTGGAGGCTGCAGAAGTTGCCTGACATCATCCTCGTCCTTTCAGGGTGGTGTCCTCCGTGAACTCTGCCTTAGGGTGTAATCATTAATAGCACTTGCTCCACTCACTCGTCCCAGGTTTAGAAGAGAAAGCGCAGAGCCATCCCACGTATGAAAGAAGCTCCTTTGGGAGGCAGGTGGCCTGAAGGCAACCACACTCTAATCCCCAATCAGCTTCTGATTCCAAGGCCAAATTCCTCACGTCCTACTGGAAGCTTATCTGATTGTTCTGTAAGATTTCTGAGTCCATCTACTCAAAACTGGACAAGTATGTCCTGTGAAGATGCAGTGTGTCCTTGTTCCTCTGATCCACTTAACGCCATCCACCCGGGGCCCAGCCTCAAGGCCCGCGGGTCACCTCTGCCTACCTGTTGCCCTCACTGCACCTGTTAAGTGCCTCAGCTTCTCTAGAGGGTCCCTCCTGGTGTTTCTCTGCTCCACAGCCTGCTCCTGCTGCTTCGGTTCTCATCTGGGCTTTGCAATAATCTCCTATTCATCATGTTCACCAATCTATTTGTTAACTGGTTGCCAAAGTCATTTTTCTTGAGTGGATGTTGTGCAAAGGCCCAGGAGGGGAGAGGGAGTGACCTCGTGGAATTTCACGGAGGTTCGTGTGACCAGTGCTGGGGGGTCAAAGGTGGGTCACGAGCCACAGAGGAGCAAGTCAGGCCCACTGGGCTCCCTGCACTGCATGAAGTCACTGACAACCTGCCTGGGGCCTGAGGAACGTCAAAGGGTCTGAAGCCAGGGCCTGAGATGAGACTTGCATTCTGCAAAGACCTGGTAGGAGCGTCTAAGGGGAGGAGCTGCTTCCCCTCCCTGCTAAGGAAGAGGGTCACCCCATATACCAGGACTCGCTGTGCACAGGTCATTTTTTCTTTTCTTTTCTTTTCTTCCTCCCTCCTCCTCCTTCTTCTTCCTCTCTCTCTTTCTTTCTTTCGACAAGATCTTGCTCTGTCCCCAGGCTGGAGTGCAGTGGCACAATCACAGCTCCCTGCAGCCTCGAACTCCTGGGCTCAGTTGATCCTGCCTCGGCCTCCCAAGTAGCTGGGACTACAGATGCGTGCCACCATAACTGGCTATTGTTTTATATTCACTAGAGCTGAGGGCTTGCTATATTGCCTGGGACCTCGGCCTCCCAAAGTGTTGGGATTACAGATGTGAGCCACCGTGCCTGGCCAAGATTTTTTATTCTCCAAGCCTAATCTGTTCTTTCTGAATTCACTGCTCAGAGCTCCGGCCCGACAGCTGATGACACCGTCTTGAATCGAAGCCTAATGCACAAGTCAGGCTTTAAGCCCCATGGTGAGTGGGTGAGCCAGGGACCTTGGCCACCTCCCTCCTGTCTCCAACCTGGGACTCTCCGACGGTCCTGGGAGGAGCTCGCTGAAGGCCTCAGCTTCACAGAGGTCCTGACAGTTCCTTGATAAGAGAATGGCAAGGTCCTTCCTGCCCTCCTCTAACTCCTCCAGCCCTGATGACCGCAGCCTCATACTTGCTGTTACTGCCCAGCCCAGGGGGCAGTGATGGGCCGCCAGGCACTTCTCCCCAGCGGGGCGTCTGCTCCCTGAGGGCCCAGGCTGCCTCCTCGGCGCCTCCAGGTTCCAGTGCAGGGGCTGTGAGACTCTTCTGAGTGCTGGACCTCCCTATAGCTGTTGTCCTCATCCCTGCGACGCAGACCATCCCGGCGTCGCAGACCATCCCTATCTGCGTCCTGGGCAGCTGCGGGAATCCAATGAGACAAGGACCGGGAGTGCAGCAGGGTGGGGGGCTGCCCTCCTGTGATGGCCAGGCTCGGCTCACTGTGTCTCATAGCGGCTGCCTTCAGCGCCCCCGGCTTCCCCAGGCCTTGCTGACGCTTGCCCTTCTGAAGCCAGTCATGACCAGCACTTTGCTTTATTTTCTACTGAGCTTCTTTGAATCTGGAAGTGCGGCATCGTGAACCCTCCTAGCAGGGTGCCCTGTCCTCCGCTGACCGGACTGAGCCACATTGTCTGCTCTGAGTCCATGTTTCTTCAGCACTGGTCCAAATGCGGGCCATTTCTCACCTTTTCTACGCATTAGACATTCTAGTTAACTGGAAAGCGAGCAATGATCGCGTAAGTAATTTGTTTAGAGAGCAGGTCAAAGAGTTAATAGCTGAGCTTGCAAGTCTAAATCTAATTATTTCCTCAGCACTGAGCTCCTGGCTGGTACACGGGATGGGTTTTATTATTTTGAGCCTCCCGACTCTTCTCCTCGTGCGACTCTCTCCAGCCTTGAGAGTGCTGCCGGACTGAACTTCCCATCCCTGTCCCCACCCCCTCGGTGACCCATCGCAGCTGCACGGGTGGGCGCCCACGCCTCGGCCGACGCAGCCTTCACGCCCGTCTCTGGTGAGTTTGGGCTATTTGAACAAAGGATAGAAAAGCCTGTCATTCATTACTTCCATCATTCATTTGTTCAACAAAAAGTTGCCAGGCACGTGCTGTGTCCCAGGATCGAAGAATCCGGCCCTGAGCTCCTGTCCTGCTCCATTTCCTCCCTGCCATCCCCGCCTGCAGTGTCCCTGTGACGCCTACTAACCGCCCGCCTCTCCCCTCCCGAGTGCAGGCTTCCTGGGTCACCGTCCTCCTCTCCCCTCCCGAGTGCAGGCTTCCTGGGTCACTGTCCTCCTCTCCCCTCCCGAGTGCAGGCTTCCTGGGTCACCGTCCGTCTCTCCCCTCCCGAGCGGAGGCTTCCTGGGTCACCGTCCTCCTCTCCCCTCCCGAGTGCAGGCTTCCTGGGTCACTGTCCTCCTCTCCCCTCCCGAGTGGAGGCTTCCTGGGTCACCGTCCTCCTCTCCCCTCCCGAGTGGAGGCTTCCTGGGTCACCATCAGCCTCTCCCCTCCCGAGTGCAGGCTTCCTGGGTCACCGTCCGTCTCTCCCCTCCCGAGTGCAGGCTTCCTGGGTCACCGTCCGTCTCTCCCCTCCCGAGTGGAGGCTTCCTGGGTCACCATCAGCCTCTCCCCTCCCGAGTGGAGGCTTCCTGGGTCACCATCAGCCTCTCCCCTCCCGAGTGGAGGCTTCCTGGGTCACCGTCCGTCTCTCCCCTCCCGAGCGCAGGCTTCCTGGGTCACCATCAGCCTCTCCCCTCCCGAGTGGAGGCTTCCTGGGTCACCGTCCGTCTCTCCCCTCCCGAGCGCAGGCTTCCTGGGTCACCATCAGTCTCTCCCCTCCCGAGTGGAGGCTTCCTGGGTCACCGTCCGTCTCTCCCCTCCCGAGCGCAGGCTTCCTGGGTCACCATCAGCCTCTCCCCTCCCGAGTGCAGGCTTCCTGGGTCACCATCAGTCTCTCCCCTCCCGAGTGGAGGCTTCCTGGGTCACCATCAGCCTCTCCCCTCCCGAGTGGAGGCTTCCTGGGTCACCATCAGCCTCTCCCCTCCCGAGTGGAGGCTTCCTGGGTCACCGTCCGTCTCTCCCCTCCCGAGCGCAGGCTTCCTGGGTCACCATCAGCCTCTCCCCTCCCGAGTGGAGGCTTCCTGGGTCACCGTCCTCCTCTCCCCTCCCGAGTGGAGGCTTCCTGGGTCACCGTCCGTCTCTCCCCTCCCGAGCGCAGGCTTCCTGGGTCACCATCAGCCTCTCCCCTCCCGAGTGGAGGCTTCCTGGGTCACCGTCCGTCTCTTCCCTCCCGAGCGCAGGCTTCCTGGGTCACCATCAGCCTCTCCCCTCCCGAGTGGAGGCTTCCTGGGTCACCGTCCTCCTCTCCCCTCCCGAGTGGAGGCTTCCTGGGTCACCGTCCGTCTCTCCCCTCCCGAGTGGAGGCTTCCTGGGTCACCGTCCGTCTCTCCCCTCCCGAGCGCAGGCTTCCTGGGTCACCATCAGCCTCTCCCCTCCCGAGTGGAGGCTTCCTGGGTCACCGTCCTCCTCTCCCCTCCCGAGTGGAGGCTTCCTGGGTCACCGTCCTCCTCTCCCCTCCCGAGTGCAGGCTTCCTGGGTCACCGTCCGTCTCTCCCCTCCCGAGTGCAGGCTTCCTGGGTCACCGTCCTCCTCTCCCCTCCCGAGTGCAGGCTTCCTGGGTCACCGTCCTCCTCTCCCCTCCCGAGTGCAGGCTTCCTGGGTCACCGCCCTCCTCTCCCCTCCCGAGTGCAGGCTTCCTGGGTCACCATCAGTCTCTCCCCTCCCGAGTGCAGGCTTCCTGGGTCACCGTCCTCCTCTCCCGTCCCGAGTGCAGGCTTCCTGGGTCACCATCAGTCTCTCCCCTCCCGAGTGCAGGCTTCCTGGGTCACCGTCCGTCTCTCCCCTCCCGAGTGCAGGCTTCCTGGGGCAGGGCTTCGCCTGCTTCCTGCAATTGTGTCCAGGGCGCAGGAAGCTGCCCAGCACAGGCAGTGGCACTGACACGGGGTGAAAGACCATGAGCGCTCCTCGGGACATCTGGCCTTTCACCTGTGCATGGTTGGGAGGGAGACGGGTTTCTTCCTTGGTCCTCCCACTCGCTCCTGTTTTTCAGGGCCCCTCCTCTCCCTGTGGAGCTCCAGTGAAGACCCCTCTCCAGGAGCCCCTAACCCCAGTTCCAGATAAACCTTCTGTTTTTCCTAAAACTGTCAGAACCCAGTTCTGGTGCGGAGGTAAGACAACTCAAAAACGTGTATTTGCCGTTTCTTTCTTTGAGAAATCTGTAATAGGCTAAGGAACAATTGATCAATATAAATAAAGTTTTAACGGTGGAATTTCAGGTATCAGCATAGATGGAGAAGAGACTTTCGTGCCTCTGACCCTCAAATTACCCAGCTCTCGGCTCTGCGTGGATTGGCGTGCCCGTTTACCTGAGAGGCCAGGTTCACATTTGGGAAGAAGAGATTTTCTCCCTCCGCAGCAGCAGCGCAGCCTGCACGAGGTTGCTGGGGGAAACAGACCGCTCTGTCTTTGGGGTCTTGATGGGTAGAGTGGTTTGCCAGAGAACCACCGAAGAGCCTTCCAGGGACTTCTAAGAGTGGGCACTTACTTCAGCCCTGGGAAATCTCTCCTCAGAGCCTGGCACAGGTTTTGGTATCAGCGGGGCCACGACAAATGTTCACTGAATGAGTAAATGAATGACATGGAATGTAGGAAACACGAAATAAAATGAACTGAGAAGATTTGCAGGGACTGGTTATTTTGTCCATCTCCAAACACAGAGGAAACACCCTGACTCCCCCTGGCCGCCTACAGGGGCCAATGGCAGTCAGTCCCCTGTGCTGAAGTGCCGGCTGTTTTCTAAGAGGCTGAAGGAGGGTATTTATAGTTCATGGGTAACAAGGAGAAACCACCTCTGGAGATCTCCTCCTCTCTCAGAAATCTTTGCGATGATATGAAGAGGGATGGTGTTTTGGGCCCGTGATGGGTGACGCCACCCCAGATTTGCAGATGAGACCCTTTTATGGGACAGGTGGGCACTGGTCAAATGACATTTATAAAGAATCTGGCCAATCATATCTTTTTTTTTTTGGCTCCTGGTTTTCATTACCACTCAGCATTTCCCACCTTTCCGACTGAAGCTCAGTCAATTAGCAGGGTCTAGCAGGGTCCCCGGCCTGGTGCCTGGGGTCCCTCTGCCTCTCAGCTTCCCGGGAAGTGGCTAATGAGTGCTGAGATACAAGAGGGGGAGTGTGACAGATGCTCTGTGGGGGTCGTCCTGCTGTGTGATGATCACGCCCTGAGACGCATTCGTAAATGTGGTCTTTCCTACGTTCAGGGTTTTTGTAATATTATTTGAAGGATGTACCAGCTTGTCACTGAGTGTGCCAGGGAACCACTGACCAGGGAAGTTTATTTGTGCTGTGTCACTAGGACTATGAGTAATAATAACAACAATAATAATGAAACAAAGGGAAGAAAACCCAGCAGGGGGCTGCCCTTGAGAGTGCCCTGAGGGACACACAGGAGGCCCTGGTGGGAGGCTGCCCCAAGGAAGCCTTGCATTCTAGGATGTCACAGCCTGCATCTGGCCTGTGCTTGGGAGGTGCCAGTGCAGCCACACTTTCCATTTCTGTCTCTTATTTTGGAGGTTGGCTTTGAGGGATGAGGACAAACGTGAGGAGCGAGAATTAGCAGGTTCAGATCAGGGGAAAAGCATGAACCGCAGATGGAATGGGGTGTGTGGTGGGCAGGGTTGGAGGCACCGCTGAGCGTGGGCAGAGAGGGGACAGGCTCCAGGGCTCTGCCTGCCACGTGGAGCCAGCACCTGCAGCTGTCCTGCGTCTGTCTCTCCTGCGTGGGTCGGCAGAGCAGCGTGGGCTCCCCCAGGCCAATTCCACCGCAGGGCTGAGCCCTGGGCCTCCCTGAGTCCGAGTCCGGGCAGCAGTTTTACCATAAAAGGCGCATTTAGCAAACACACCTCAGGGCCTGGACTCTGTGTCACAACTTCCTGAAGTGCACAGAGTGAGACACATCGTGGTGAATCGCTGGCCTCTCACTGCTCCCAGCAACCAGCAAAGCAAGTCACGGCAGCACATGGAGATGGATTTTCTGGGAGAAAGGCAGCCGCAGTGCTCTCTACTAGATGCCCTGAAAATCAATCTGCAGCCCACTCCAGCCTGGTAAAATTAGATCTAAAACTGGTTAATTTAGTTTCAGGAGTGTTTTCCCACCTGATGCCAGGCCTGAAGACACCATGCAGTAAAGCACCCTGAGCTACTGCCAGCCCGTGCTCCTCCTCTGGGTGGGGACAACGCAGTGCTCCATGGCACTGAGGGGCTGGTGCCCGGGACGAGATGGCACTGCTCCCCTCCCCACCTGGTCACTGAGAGCCTCCTTTTCATGCTGTTCTTCTGCGTTCCACACGGTTTGTAAAAAGGCGTGGCATGTGGATGGTTTTAATTTGCTTGAGTGGGAGGGCTTATGGCTTTGGAGTTGGAGCCCTGGGACAGCTGAATGTTCTAGAAAGCAGCTGTTTTGCAGCTAAGGCCTCAGCGACGGCTGAGTCAGGGAGGGCCGGGAACGACCTCAAGGCAGGAGGGAAGAAGGCCTGAGAATCATCACTGTCTCCACCGGAACCTTAACCGCTGGGGCCCCTGACCACGATTGGAAAACTGGAAAGAGCAAGCGCAGTATCAGAGAGTCCCAGGACCCCTCGCCAGGGCCCCAGCCTGGCATGAAATGGGATTACATGCCTCCCATTGTGTGTCCCGGCAGCCACAAACACCGTCAGGCCCAGCGTCACCCTCCCCACCTCCCGGATGAGAAGGAGCCTCCGGAGCAGCTGAGGGACCCACTGTGGAGGCAGCCGGGTGGGGGACGGCCCGGTGTGTGTGGTCTGGTCGTGACTTTCCCACAAGGCATCACCCATGGGAAGGAGGCGTGATGATGGTAAGCAGCACAGAGCCCTGCGGGGACCAGGGTTTTGGAACACCCCGGCCTTCGGTCATGCTGCGGGAAGCCTGGGTCCTCTCCCTGTCAGAGAAGACAGCTGGGTTCTGGGGTTTCACAGCACACGGGTACCCCCGGTTCCAGGACTGACCATGGAGGGCAGGTGCCAGCGCTGTTCGGGGCCTCCGGTGATGGTCCCAGCTCCCTTCCCACAAAGGCCAGGTGCAGCCTTGGAATCCTCTGACACTTGGATCCCCATGGATTCAATGGGAGCTCGCATGCTGTGAAGACCGCGGTGCATTTTAAACGGCACCAGCAAGGAGGCTACACTGTGTATCCCGTGTCCCCATTTCTACCGAAGAGCGGCGGCTTCACGGCGGTTTGGGAGTGGGGTCCAGGCTCTGTTCTGCAGAGTCCCTGTTTTTCTGTGAGCCTCACGCTCTCTAGAGGAGAATGAGCCACTGAGCAAGCAGTTTCTTGCTTGTCTTTAGAAAACTGCAGCGAGGCCTGGGGAGCGGTTCCCAAAGTGTGTTCTGCCAAACACAAACAGGTGCTAGTGCCCAGAGCATTTCCACGAGCGTGTACTTGTGGAGGGCTGAGTTCTACAGAATTAAGCAGATTTCTTTATGGAAGGGCTTCCCGGGGCTTGTAATGCACATTGTGCTGATACAATTTGAAAATCTCCAAAATGGAGTAAACACACAGCCTCTCTCATGACCTTGGAACTCGATTTTCATGAGCATCTCACGGAACTTCTGTTCCACGAGACAGACTGGAGAAGTGCTGACATCTGGGGTGTCATGAGGCCTGGCTAATGTCTTGGGAACTGCCCTGCAGACATTTCCTAAGTGAAGCAGCAGACAGACCTCATTTAGCCTGTGCTGAGCCCCAGGATGAGGGGTAGGGAAGGAAGGCTGTCTCATTCTGCTCTGGTCCAAAGTCAGTGTTTACGCGTGCGCGCGCCGGTCTGGCCAGGGGTAGGGCGCCTTCTAAAATCTACTTCTGAGCGATTTGCTCATCAACCGCTATTCTGCACACACACGTGGGGAGCCTGCCACGTGCCCACTCTGCTTTGCCTGGTGGGGTCGGGGGAGAATAGAACAGAGGGAGTTTCACTGAGAAAAAATGCTGTGTGGAATTGGTGCGTGGTTAGCATAAAGGAAGCCACTTAGCTCACACAGGCCTGGAAATGCGGGCTGGTGCAGTATGTCATTTACATCAAACTGTGAATTCTCAAATATGTGAATCAATCAAAGACGGCTGATGGAGGGGCTCAGCCAATGGCGCACACTGTCATCGAGTCGGAGGCGGCCCCACTTCAGTGGAGAGTCATCCTGCCTTCCTCGCCATCAGCTCCCATCTCCTTCTGGTCAGAGGAAGCCTCCTCCCTGGGGCCACCCCTCCTGCCCCGCAGCTTCCTGAGTGGATGAGGCTGACCCCTCAGCTCCAACGGGGGCTCTGATTAACCTGATCAGCATAAACCTACTCTCCTGGCAAAAAGGGACTCCACAATTTGCAGTGTCCAGTGTAAAACAGAAATGTTCGAAAATCACTAAGAATTTCAAGATGGCGCCAGCAGAGCATGAAGCTGAGGCCGGGACCTTCCAAGTGGAACTGGGCCGGCTCCTGCCCCACGCCCAGATGCCACCCTCCTCCCTGGTGTTTGTTCCGTGAGGGGCACAGGACTCAGCTCAGGGCGGCGGAAGTCCGTCTTCCTGCTGGGGCAGGTGCGCTCGTGCGCCTGGAGCTCTGCTGGGTCCTGCAGGCACCGTGTGCGGCTCTCGTGGAAGCAGCCGGAGGTGGGGATGGAGAAAGGCCGGCTGCTGCCTCCACTGGACCCTGACCCCAGCCGCTGCTCAACTCGTTTTTTCTTTTCTGAGCCAGCCGCTGCTCAACTTTTCAGTTCCAAGAGCCAAGATTGTGCCTTCTAACACTTGCAACCAAAGAGGTCCTGATTCGTACAACCCTTGTGACCAAATATCTCAAGCGTCTTCTCTGGGCTTGGAGTCCCCCATGTGTAAAGGGGCAATCACGATGTCTCTTTCAGTCATTGCGGGGGCCCTATCTGGGTCGTCACTCACACCCCGATGCAGGAGCAAGGCTAAGCTTGGTCCTGGTCAGGTGTGGACTGTGCTCCTTGAAATTATATATACGTTTTTTAAGGGCTTTTGCTACTTTTGTCAGTGAGAGCCATTCTCATTTATTCCTGCCTTATTCATGCCAGAATGAACCAACTTAGGCAGCAGCTCTGGGTGAGCTAACGGGGAAGCCACTTCGACAAGCTCAGAGCTTGCACTCCACGTGAGGGGCCCGGCAGCTGCCCACTCTGAGGGAGGGCACCGTGGCCCCGGGCGTAGCTGATCTGCAGACCCCCTAGCTGTCATTCTCAGAGCTGCAGCCTGGGACCCACTCGGCCTGCAGCAAGGACAAGTTCCTCTGTAACCCACAGGCTTTCTCATGCAATGCAGTATTGGAGGCACGTCCCTCCCAGTCTCCTGTTGCCCCTAAATCTGCTTTCATTCATCATTGTAGTGCTCCTACAGTCCCCACGTCCTAGCCTCCCCTGCTCCTGCCTCCCCGATTGGAGGCAGTTAGAGCACACCTGTGTCATCTGGGTGTGTCTGCAGGGCACTGTCCTGTGAATATCAACCAGGCCAGTAGTTGTGGGGAGCGACATTGCACCCCAGGGTCACCAGCCACCCCCCATCCACTCTCAGCAAGCCAGGGTCAGGGGCTTCCTGTGGTGCAGGGGCTTCTGTGTCCCCACAGCTGGAAAGCTCTAGGCCAACAAAGATGAAACAGCTCCCAGCGCAGGGCCCCTGCCACCTAGGTGCTTTCCTAAAGATGAGCTCTAGAGGCCAAGCTGCTTACTTAGTTAAAACAAGCGTTTTGGCTCAGAAGGAGCAGGAGAAGCTGCTGCCAGGAGCTCTATGCTTGGCCATGAGAGCAGGACACAGGGAAGGGCATGGAACGGCTCACGGGGGACCTCGGGAGATGCCCAGGCTGGTCTCGCAGGCCCTACCACTGGGGACCTGATGGGGCTAAGCATCTCCCCTTGGCAGGTGCTGAGATGCCCCTCAGTGCCCAGCACAAATAATTCTGCAGAGATGCTGCCCATTTGCCGGCTGCCATCCAGCAGACGCCAGGGAGACGCTGCGTGGTGATGAGTGCGCAAGAACCAGCGTGGGCTCCACTCCTCCCGCCTGTGCCCTGAAAAAAGTGTGTCATTGTGTCACTTGATTTTCTCAGTGACAACCATGTGGGGCTCTGCAGGTAGAAAAGTGACCACTTGTGTCAGGCACTGAGCTGAGCTGAATCCAAATTCAGCAAAACCTCTCCTCTCTGGTGCCTGGCGAGTCTCTTAAAGCTGCTCAGAGACCTGTAAGCTCGCCGGCTTCGGGGCAAGTTCCTTCCGTTTGACCGGCCAACAGTGACATTCGTGGACCCAAAGGACCCTGGACAGACCCCTGAGGGAAAGTGATGGGCAATTGTTTTGAACTCTCCAAAAGGGAGCTGGAACAGAATATATTAGGAGCAACTTTCCCATCCCAGCGAGACTTGGGTGAATTCCCCGGGAGCTCACGCTTTCTACATTGGTCCTTTTCGTTAGATTGTTTAAGGACACGCAGCTTGTTAAAGCAGCAGGACCCTGTGTCCCTTTATGTGCAAATTAAATCTCAGGTCGATGCCTCCTACATACAATTCCCGGCGCCTGCGTGGAGGATCGTTGCGTCTTCAGAAACTGCTCCCAGCTCCGAGGGCTCCCAGAGCCTGTGGGGTCATGCGGGGGCCCAGCTGACAAACCACAGAGGTAACGGGGCAGAGGTAACGCTGCCCAGGCCCCATTATGCATGTTGATCCTGTGCCAGATGCAGTAAGAGGCTCAGTGCTAAGGAGAATTCACATTTACCACACCTTGACTGTGTTCCAAAAACTCATGAAGCATTCATTGATTTAGACATGTTCCCTCAACCACTGCTCGTGGGGTCTTCTGAGCTACCTACAATTACTCTCCTTCCAATCTTGAGCTTCAATTTGCTGAAACTCAGGCTGGCTCTAGCGCCTCCACAAAATGAGAGATCTCCAGAAATAAGGGTTCAAGATTCAATGTGGTCAGGAGTTCGGGACCAGCCTGGCCAACGTGGCAAAACCCTGTCTCTACTAAAAATACAAAAATTAGCCAGAGGTGATGGTAGGGGCCTGTAATCCCAGCTACTCAGGAGGCTGAGGCAGGAGAAACACTTGAACCTGGGAGGCAGAGAGGTTGCAGTGAGCAGAGATCGCACCACTGCACTCCAGCCTGGAAGAGTGTGAGATTCAGTCTCAAAAAAAAAAAAAAAAAAAAAAAATTTAAGATGTTTCTTGGGAAATGTACCAGAATCCACCCACATCTTTACAATGTATGTTGAAGCCTCTAAGAAGCTGTGCACCAAGATACACCCATTTATTAAACCCCCTAGATACACCTGTTTATTAAACCCTTCGCCAAGATGCACCCATTTATTAAATCCTTCTCCAAGATACACCTGTTTATTAAACCTTCCGCCAAGATACACCCATTTATGAAACCCTTCGCCATGATGCACCTGTTTATTAAACCCTTCCCCTAGATACACCCGTTTATTAAACCCTTCGCCAAGATACACCTGTTTATTAAACCCTTCTCCAAGGTACACCCATTTCTTAAATCCTTCCCCTGGATACACCCATTTATTAAACCCTTCGCCAAGATACACCCATTTATTAAACCATTTGCCTAGATACACCTGTTTATTACACCCTTCACCTGTAGACTTGGGCTATGTGTTATTCTTTTTAAAATCTCCAGCCATGGTGGAGGTGTGGATTTTCACTGCGATGAGCTTGCTGAAGGATCTGTGGATTGCAATGTCACCCTGGCCCTCACCCAGCTGCTCTCCTTGCAGGTCTGGTTAGCCCAGGGCCTGCTTCCTTCTGTGTGTGGGCCCTCCCCAGGGGCTCAGGCAGGGAGCTGAAGGACACACCTCACTCTCAGGACACTTGCTGTCTGTGATCACCTTGCCAAGGTACCTGCTTTCCATCCAGCTCTAAAGCCGTGTGGGCTCGGTACCCGGGAAGGAGAGAGTGGCCTGGGGGACCTCGTGGAAGGCTGGAGGGGTCACTGAAGCCCACAGAGGATCACCTCCTAAAGTGTCTCCTTTCTTCTTCATCTCTGTGGCTTCCCTACCTGGGGACCACTGGTCGCTAGAAATAAACTTGGCCTTGACTTTCCCTCCTATGGGTTGATGGGTCTTTCAAACTTTGGTGGAACTCCCAGACAATTTAATTTTGGGCTGTGTTGGCTAGGGATGTTCCCTTTTCCCAGGTTGTCTGAAATAAAGAAGGCTTTGGCGGGGGAGCCCTGGCACCCCTTGTGACTGCTGTGAAGGTGAGTGCCAGGGTGGATCTGGGGCTGCCCACGGGTTCGATGACACCAACGCCCTTTCCCCCATTGTCAACCCCCTGGCCCTGCAGTTGGGGCCCTGATTCCTGCACGTCCCAGGACTGGACGAGGATTGCCGGCTTTCCTACTTCACAGATGATGAATGGGGGGAGTGGCCACAGCTTGCAGGAAAAGAGGAGGAGCTTATGCCCCCCTCGCCAGAAGCAGCCCATCCCCATCCTCCCCAGAAGCAGCCTTCCTTGGGATGGCCAGGGACGCTGGTGATCTGGGCCCTGGGGGATGCGTCTCCTCCTTTGGCTGTGCGGCTGCATAAAGCAGGCATCCATAAAGCCCACTTATTTTTACGACCTTGCATTAAATTAAATGTGTTATTTTATGCAGGTGCTTACAAAGTCCACTGAGTAGCCTCTGATGGCTCCCTGGTTCCCTGACACAGTGGCAGGACTGGCACAGACCGAGCGGACCCCATACTGATTTGCTGTTCTCGGGACAGCACAGGAACAGCCGGGCAGCACCACTGACTCCTGGGAAGCAGGACGATGACCTGCAGTCACCTGCAGCTCCTGTGCTGTCCTCTGTCTTCTACAAGTGCCATTGGAAGGGGTCCCGGGTCCGACGTCTCCGGCGTCCTTCTGAGCCACTGCTACTCCTGAAGAGGGTACAACGGCCGGGGTGGGGTCTCTGGCTTAACCCCTGGCGGTGGTCCCATTGGTGACCCACTGGCCTTTTTCTCTGCAGGGCTAGGCTGCCCTTAAAAAATGGTTTCAGGTTGAGAGAGACTCAGAGGCTTGGGGAAGTTGACGGTAGGGGGCAGGGAGTCATTGCTTCCTGGGGCCTCAGCCTGCATTCTGTTGGATTATGCCTCAGCCCAGGAGTCCCGGCTGCCCTTCCTCGGGGCATAGTCCTAGCCCAGCACTGGCAGAGACGATCTTCCTGGGGCTTCTGAGAATTCAAGATCCTGGCATCAGATGAGTGACGGTGTTCTGAGAGAGCTCAACCTGCTTCCCAAGGTGGTGCCCTCCCCCACCTCCAGGATGGAAGATTCTCCCGAGCATGTCCTGGGGGTTGCTCTCGCCCGGCCTCCATCCCCAGGCCCTCCTTCCCCTCTGCATGACTGTTCTGTGGGGGGAACTGGGCAGACAGACCCAAAGCCTCCCAGCAGAAGAGAGAAGTGAGGAGGCTGGAGGCCAATGCTTTCTTTGACTCTAAAATGAATTATCTCAGTATTATAGAAAATATAAAAATATACAATAATATTTAAAAAGGAAATTGCATTGTCACACACCCCACCTTCCAAGGGCTCACACTGTTAATTATTTTGCAGAATATTTTATACTGTCTTAGCTTGAGAGGCAAGATATTAGACGAATAGAAATTGGATTTAATTTGTAAATATGGGTGCATGCATCCTTCTTAATGAAGCTGAGATCATGCTTTACATGGTTTGGCAATCCCCTTTCCCATTTAATATTACATTGTGAACATTTTTCATTATCTAAAATATTCTTTAAAACACGAGTTAAAATGTCTACATAACACATTCCAATGAAAATATATCCCACAGCATGGTCGACCATTCCCAGATTGCTGGATATACAGGGAGCATCAGTGTTTTTAGATATTGTGTAGATACGTGCTCACATGTGATATGCATATTATTAAGGATGCTGCACTGAACATCTTTACACATGAGTCTTGAACCACATCTATGATGATCTTTCAGTTCACACTCTTAGAAATGCAATAGCTGAGCGAAAGGGAGTCAAGAATGTCAGGGCTCTCGATTTCCAAAATCAAATTAGTTTTACAGTCACACCGAGTCCCAGGGCCACCCGTCCAGCATGAATATGCCCATCTCACTCAACCCTTGCCAGCCGTGAGTGCAATTTTAAAAGCTTGCTGCCCGTCGGAAACCAGAAAGTCACCCTATGGCTTTGACCTGTCCTTGTTGGTAACCAGGGAGGCTCGGCTGTTGTGTGTCTTGGTGAGCCTGTGTGAATCCTTTGTTCACTGGGCTCTGGATTTCACTTGCCTCCCAGCCTCTGTGGACTGAGAGAGACCACGGCCACACACTGGTAGCTGGGAATTGTGTCTGCACCAGCACACAGGGAGTGGCCTGGGTCTTGCTCTGTCTGCCTGGGACCCAACGCCTGCTGCAGGCTCAGAGGATGAGGGTGGCCGCGGCTCCTCACCCACTGTGGCTGCAGCTGGGCTGGCCGGGTTGTGTTCCAGAGCTGCTGGCTCCGTGGTGGTGGCGTCAGTGATTGCAGAGGAGGCTGGGCCGGCTGTGCTGCTCTCTGGGGAGACCTAATGAGCTCCTGCTCACTCCTCAGGCTGATGCCCATGTCTCAGTCTACCCTGGACCCTTGGACATGCTCTGTTCACACCACATACCCCTGAAGCACGCTTGGCCCACGGAGCCCCCGCATCCAGCCCGGGGCAGGTATCTCTGCCTTCCTCGACCCGCCCTGCCTGACAGCGGGCTCCCACCTTCGTCGCCCCGCCCTGCCTGACAGCGGGCTCCCACCTTCGTCGCCCCGCCCTGCCTGACGGCGGGCTCCCACTTCGTCAGTGCATTCTGCAAACTTGACTTGACCTGCAGCCAAACAGAGAATTTTTCTCTTTTCAGATGTTTCATCTCTGTGGCCACCTGAACCCCATCTGCGTGGGGCGTGTGGCTTGGCCATCGCTGTGGCAACGGATTCTCAGTGGTGCTGAGGCCTGGTCGTGGTCATGGTGCTAAGGCCTGGCCGTGGTCATGGGGAAGGATTCTCAGTGGTGCCGAGGCCTGGCCGTGGTCATGAGGAAGGATTCTCAGTGGTGCCGAGGCCTGGCCGTGGTCATAGGGAAGGATTCTCAGTGTGCCGAGGCCTGGCTGTGGTCATAGGGAATGATTGTCAGTGGTGCCGAGGCCTGGCTGTGGTCATGGTGCCGAGGCCTGGCCACGGTCATGGGGAAGGATTCTCAGTGGTGCTGAGGCGTGGCTGTGGTCATGAGGAAGGATTCTCAGTGGTGCCGAGGCCTGGTCGTGGTCATAGGGAATGACTGACAGTGGTGCTGAGGCCTGGCCGTGGTCATAGGGAAGGATTCTCAGTGGTGCTGAGGCCTGGCCGTGGTCACAGGGAATGATCCTCATTGGTGCTGAGGCCTGGCTGTGGTCATAGGGAAGGATTCTCAGTGGTGCCGAGGCCTGGCTGTGGTCATAGGGAAGGATTCTCAGTGGTGCCGAGGCCTGGCTGTGGTCATAGGGAAGGATTCTCAGTGGTGCTGAGGCCTGGCTGTGGTCATAGGGAAGGATTCTCAGTGGTGCCGAGGCCTGGCTGTGGTCATAGGGAAGGATTCTCAGTGGTGCTGAGGCCTGGCTGTGGTCATGGTGCTGAGGCCTGGCCGTGGTCATAGGGAATGATTGTCAGTGGTGCCAAGGCCTGGCTGTGGTCATGGTGCCGAGGCCTGGTCGTGGTCATGGGGAAGGATTCCCAGTGGTGCCGGGGCCTGGCCGTGGTCATGGGGAAGGATTGTCAGTGGTGCCGAGGCCTGGCCGTGGTCATGGGGAAGGATTCTCAGTGGTGCTGAGGCCTGGCCGTGGTCATAGGGAAGGATTGTCAGTGGTGCTGAGGCCTGGCTGTGGTCATGGGGAAGGATTCTCCTCGCTGCTGCCACGAGCACAGTATCAGGGATGGAAAGGTTTGGGCCAGAGGACTTCTCAGGCTGAGATAATGTAATCTCATTTCCTGAGAGCAAAATAACAAAACAAGGAGTGATGTATTCCCTTCTCCAGGCGGGCAGACAACAGAGATGTCAATTAAATCTAAAGGCCTGCTCCTATTCAGCAGAAAATGGCTGCTGCTCTAGAAATATTACGACGTTAAAAGGAGATCACTGGAGTCTACATAACTGTTGATGGTGTAGCATCTGCTCCAACTGCCTCTCCTCGGTGTCTGCCACAGCGGCTGCGGTGGTTTTCCTGTTTGAAGACCCCCTGTCCTCCTTCACTTTCAGGGTCAGCCAGTCTGTGCTTTGATTCACCACGGGGATGAGCAGGAATCGTCGGTGCAATTTTACCTGCGTAAACAAGCGAACCTTCTTCCACTGAGCTTCTGCCTTGAGACGTCTGTGAGTGCCGCCTGATCACTTGGTGAGCAGCTGTTTCAGCTGCCCGGATGGAGGGCAGTCCAGTCAGTTACGGCCTCTCCCTCTCCCGAGCTGCGCCCTGTCCTCCTGGAGGCGAAGGGCTGAGTCTCAGATCCCGGACTTTGGTGCAGAGCAGGAAGACCTGTCCTTGGTCTGCTCCATGCTGTGCTGGTGTCTGCGCTCCTCCCTCAGGGCGCCTGCAGGGAAACTGCATCCTGCTCTCCTCTCTGCAGCCTTTGGGACCAGGGCACGGCCATCCAGACACGGCCTTAGCTTCCTTGTCTCTCCTGGGCCAGGTGGGCAGGTGAGATGCCTCCCCAGCCTCCGTGGGCCTAGAGAATCTCAGGGGCCTGGTTCAGGCCTTCTGCACCTGTCTGCTCCAGGCTGCATGGTGGCTGAGGCACAGGTGCGTCCGTGAGGCTGCGGGGCAACCCTGGCTTCGGGGGAACACAGTGCTGCTCCTTCAAGTGCACCGGAGGCTCCGTCGTTAGCCCACCCGTCCCCACCAGCCCAGGGCGGGACCAGCCCACAGCACCACGTCCTCTCCAGGCCACCAGTGGGAGGTTCAGGAGAAACCAGGGCTTCCAGAAGCAATGTTCTCCTAACTCTTACCCAAGTTACTGCTGGACCCAAGATTCTGTGAACCCAAAGCGGGAATTTGAAGCTTTTTCCTCCTCAGGTGACTTTCTGACTGTATCCCTGGGCCAGGTTAGCTTCACTAAAGCGACAGGCACCACAGATGTGGTCCTGGGTGGGTGGTGGGGACGGGCGGTCCGTGCTGAGTGGACACGTTGCAGCAACACCACAGAGACCCCACAGTGTGTCGGGTGTGAGCTCCGCCGGCAAGAAGCGGATCGAACCATCCGTGCAAGGCCACTGTAGGTGCTTCCTGAAACGCCATTTACGAAGGTCGTAGACGCAAGTGCCTGACCTACAGCAAGTGCCCCTCAGCGCTTGATAAATACACACAGTTCTGCAGCAAAAGCTATTTTGTTTCTCTGCATTTTCAACCAAAATTTGAAAGACATTGCTTTCAGCTAGCAGTATAGATTTCTATACATAAAGACCTGAAAACTGCTATTTAAAACAGCCTTTACTCAGAGTGGACTTAGAAACGACGCATCAGGCTGAGAGGAGCAGAGAGGCCTGATGTGTTCATTCCCTTCTTGCCCCGGTCAAGTTATCAGGAATTTGAGGAGAGTGCTTGTCTTCCGAGAAATTCTCAGACTTCAGGGCATGCGTTGGGGAAGGATGTGGTCAAGATGTCTGTGCCTTGTCAAGGGCCCTTTTCTCCGCTGAGCTGAGGCTCGGGACGATGCTGGACGGGTTCGGAGCGTGCTGCATCCTGCGAGCCCGGAGACCTCGGGGCTGGTTAGAGGATGGCTCAGTTCCCAGGAAACCCTCGGGTCTTTAAAAGGAAGTCGCAAACCCTGTTAAAGAGCTGGACTTCTTTTGTCTGTTTACTGTATCGCCTTGAAGTCTTTACTGAACAGTTGATTAAAAGATGTGTTTTTTTTTTGAACAAATAATTTAAAAAATTTATAAATCCATGTTTAAATGAAACCTGGGCTTTAGCTATGTGAGGTTGTGACTTTATTATTATTATTATTTTTGCTTTTAAAATAGTTCTCTATTTTATTTTAAAGCAATTATATCCATACATTCAAAAAAGTCCAAAACAGCAGAAAATATTTCCTTTGAGCCAACGCATAAAGCACAAAATAATCCTCATATCTGCCAGAGGATGGGCCGGACCGCGTTTCAGGTAATCAACTCAGGAGCAACTGAAGGCTTCCGAGGGTAATGGACCACGTAATGAGTCAATTTGTGGTTGCCAGGTGCATCCCTGCTCAGACCTGGGCGGGGCAGGTGGGTGTGGGGGCACGGCTTTCGGGGCTCATCCTCCCGCACCACCTGTGGGAAGCTACGTTGCTTCTCTACGTCTCAATTTTCTCCTCTTTACTATAAAAATAGCAGCTACCTCATAGAATTGTCTTGAATATCAAATAAGGAAATCCACCCGCAGTGTTTTTGTGACTTTAACGTAGGTTCCTTTTCCTTGGTTCATTTCCCTGCTGGTCCCCAGCCGCCCACCCTAATGGAGAGGGGTCTTGCCCACTGCCTCAGGGCTGGCGGGAGGGTGGATGGGCCCTCGGGCTGTGGGCTCCATGGGGATTTGGGCATGGCTGCTTCTCAGCAGAGGAGCCACAGGAGCTTGGCAGAGCCCAGCCATGCATACTCTAGAATGGTCTAGAACGGTCTGCAGGCAGGAGACGGGTGTTAGAATCCACCCAGGTGGCTGACAGCCTAGGAACCACTTGAGCAGTTGTTGTATGGTGAGGGCGCAGGGCCCAGCCAGGGCAGCAGGGGTCCCAGTGAGAACATGAGTGGGAGATGGTGCAGGAAGGGGGTCCCCAGCCAATGTCCCAGCCCCAATCCCGACACTGACACAGCACTGGGGAAGGGGGTGCTCTGTGGTTAGAAACGGCGTCGGGTCTCGCAGAATGGAGGCAGAGTTCCAGAGCAGGAAAGTCTATTTCATCATGCCCAAGCTCTCGGTCTTGAATTCACACAAAAAACATGTGGGTCCTAACAGTGACCCAGCCAATGTCAGCAATGGCTTGTGTAACTGGAATACCATAAATTACAGCTGAAGTGCACACAGCCTGTGTCGTGCACCTGCTCGGGTCTAACCATCTTATGAAAGGGTCCTCCTATCGGCCCTGTTTTGCAGAGAAGAAACCTGGACACAGGAAGCGCAGCCGTGAACCCTAGGGCAGGGAAGCCAAGATTCTCACTCAGGCCCTGCCCCTGGGGCCGGGCCTTCTGTTCTGCCCAGCGACCTCTCAGCCTCACCTTGAGAATCTTACAGACTGAGCGCTGATGATGCTCCCGGGCACAATGACAAATTCATCGTTTTAATTTTTTGGTCAAAACCCAAATAATCTTTAGTAAAAACCGATTTGTAAATTATGCATCCATTCTGCCATGATGGATAGAAAAGTTTTGCGATACCCAGTGAACACTGGGGATGAGTTCAGTTAAGCAGGTAAAGAAATCCTTGTCTTGCAATTGCAGGTCTCACGGTGATGTCCTCTCAGTGAAGCCCAAAAAACAATGTGTGCTCGCTGGGTGCCAGACCCACATCAGGGGCTCTATTCGTTCTTCAGACGCTGTTCAGGTCCCACTCCCTGGAAGCCTCCCTGATACTCCTTTCCTCACCAGCTCGGCTCAGGGGGCTGCCCTGCACAGCCATGGCCTCCAGCCAGTTATCCTCACTGTCCTGGAATTGCTCAACCTACCCCCAACCCAGGCTTCGTTTCCTTGATGGGGGGAATACAGTAAGCACTTAGCTGATGGGCAGATTATTGGGAAAAGCTGAGTGTCGGGAGAAGCTGAGGCAGTGCTTGCATGTCTGACATAATGTAAAAGAGTCTTAGAACATGTCTGGTGGCCAGGGTCTAAAACCCCTTGTGGTCTTTGGAACACCAAGCTCTGTGCTAAAGGGTGGAAGGCTACCCTGACGTACCGTAATCTAAGCCCAGGGCATAAAATCCCTCGTGGCTTGGATAGAATCCAGGGCTCGTGGCTCTGGAATGTGTCTAGACTTGCTGACTCCTTGCTCCTTGCTCTCCCAGGATCGATTATATCTTGAGTGAAAAGAACCTGCTCTCCATTATCTCAGGTAGCAGAGCAAATGCTAAACTGTCACAGCTGTAAATCACGTGCTTAATGCAACATGCCCTTTCAACCTCCACATTCTCATCACCTGTTTCTTTGTTGGATTACCAATAAATAGCATGTGCTCCCAGAGCTTGGGGCCTTTGCAGCCTCCATGATCACGATGGCCCCTGGTCCCACCTTTACTTCTCAAACTGTCTTTTTCTCAATCCTTTGACTCCACTGGACTTTGTCACCCCCATGACCTGGTGTTGGGTCTGATCACCCCAACACAGATGGACAGAAGGATGGATAGAGAGACAGCTGGCTAGGTGGATGATGGGGGCTGGATGAGTGGCTCATGGATGGTTAGATAGATGGATAAAGGAATGGTGAATGAATGGATAGATAGGTGGATGGATGGATGGTGGATGGGTGGGTGGCTATATGGTGAATGGATAGGATGATAGAAGGTGGATGGATGGATGGATGGATGGATAGATGGATGATAGATGGATGGATGGATTGGGGAATGTTTGGGTGGATCATGGGTGGGTGGATGGATGGTGGACCAATGGATGGATGGTGAATGGATGGGCAGAGGGATGATGGGTAGATGGGTGGATGTATGGTGGATGGATATAAGGATGGGTATATGTATAGATGGGTGGGTGAACAGATGGTGGATGGATGGGTGGATGGGTGGATGGATGGGAAGATAGATGGGTACAAGGGTACATGAGTGGTTAGATGCTGGATGGCTGGGTGGGTATATGACGATAGAATGGGCAGATAAATGGTGAAATGGATGGATGGATGGATGGTGGGATGGATGGGTGGATCATGGATAGATGGGTGGATATAAGAAAGGGTATATGGAGAGATGCATAGATGAGTGGATGAATAGATGGTGGATGAATGGATGACAGATGAGTTGATGAGTGGATGGATGAATGGATGATTGATACATGAGTTGGCCAGATAAACACGACACCTCTTCCGCATGGTAAGAAATATTTGGGAATAGGGTGACTCTCTCTAATTAAGACTTCAATTACTTTTTTGTTTGAGTATGTGTCATGAAATGATAATTTGATTGGCTATTTCTTAGTCATTTCATCAAGTCAATTCTATGCAAATAAGAAAACTGCCATAATGAAGCAGATTAGCTATTTATTAAAATTAAAAATAATTTAATTTACATTAAGGCTAAAACTAAATTAGAAAAGTTATTTGTTTGATTCTATTGATCATAGAGTCAAAATAAAATTATCATCTTATGTGAAAAATTATCACTTTCTCAATTGCCACCTCTTCCATGCAGCCCTATTTATTGCCCCTAAAGCAGTAGTGTCTCTCTTCTCTGAGCATTGATGGAACTCCTAGGGTAGTCATATTATAGAGCCTGGATATGAGGCTGATTCTACCACTCACCAGCCGTGTGATCACAGCCTACTGGGTGAATATCTCTAGACCACTCCATAAATGGGAAATAACAATAGGACCAAACTCAAGACCCGCCATGGGGCTTAACAAGCAGTACACATGACATCACTGTGCCATCCGTGAAGATCTAAGTAGACATTACTTCTTGTGATTGCCTGTCTTATTTCCCTCCTGCAGGTTCTTAGATGGACTGGTCTGTGAATCACATGAACATATGCGGTTCATATTCATAAACACTTATTCACACACACACAGATATGTACACACATGTACATTTGCATGTAAGACAGGATTTGGCAAATAGAAGATATTTTTGAATAAATGAATTATTGGGCAACTCATGCTGCCAAAAGTTGAGAGATGAAACTAAATGAAGGCCCAACTGGGGTGAGTGTGCCTGTGGGTGTTTGTTAAGGGGACGCCAATCATTCTATTGCACTTCAGTTATAGCTGGTTCCTCCTCTAACCTACTCTGGGGTCCAAAGTCAGCACAGGAGGCCCAGAGGAGTGAGCGCCTGGCCATTGGCAGGCCCCTGTGGGTCTCTCTCCCTCTGTTGATTCACAGCCTCCCTGTGGATGGGCCGTGGGGAGAGCTAGAGCAGGTAACTGGCTGGGATCCAGGAAAGGCCCTTGTGAGGCTGCACAGGCAGGGGCCCTGGAGTTTCTCACCCAGGCTGCCCTGATGCACACAGGTCCGTACCATGCACCTGGCTCCATCACCACCCTTGTGGGGTCTGGGATGATGGCAGTCAACCAGGTGCTCCACTCCAGAGAATGGGGCCCATGAACTCACTCAGTCTCCATGAGAGCCAGATCCCTGCCAGTAAGTCACGTGGTGAAACCCCATTAGGTCAGCCAACCTTTTCACATTGGCAGCGCCCAGCTTGCTGATGTGGGAGAGAGAAGGTGTCGGCCTGGGGCATGACCATCCACAGCTGAGAAGGGAGGTGGGTGCAGCACGGGTCCCCCTGAAACATTCCATGTGGAGACATCAGACCCCCCGGCTTAGGAGTTGTTACTGCAGGAGTGTTTGAGAAACTGTGTGGATGGTGGCCTGCAGTGTAGACCAGATAGTCAGGAAGCATAGATCAGATGGCCAGAAAGTGTGGGATATAATAGATGGGCAGGAAGTATAGACCAGATGGCCAGGAAGTGTAGATCAGATGGTGTGGAAGTATAGACCAGATGGCCAGGAAGTGTTGACTAGATGGGCAGGAAGTGTAGATTAAGACAGTCAAGAAGTGTAGACCAAGACAGTCAAGAAGTGTAGACCAAGACAGTCAAGAAGTATAGACTAGATGGTCAGGATATGCAAACTAGATAGGAAGTGCAGAACAGACAGTCAGAAAGTATAGAACAGTCGGTCAGGAAGTATAGACTAGATGGTCAGGAAGTCGGTCAGGGTAGATGACCAGGGAGTGCAGCCCAGAGGGTCGGGAAGAGATCTGATGAGCGATTTCTAAGGCACTCTGCTAATTGCCCTGCATTAATTATCTTACTGACTCAAAAGAAGGATGAAGGGTTGTGGAAGGATGGATTTTATTATCATTCCTATTTTACACGTGAACGAACACAGTGGAGTAAGTGATATTCCTAAAATCACATCAAAACAGGCAGGTGTGGAGTTTGCACCGTTTGCCTGACACATGGACAGGAGTCTGTGCTCTCTTTTGTCTGGGTTCTGTATTGGTGGCTGGGTGGTTTTTGCCTCCCCACTCTTCACTCCTGTGCTATGGGCCGGCGTTGCACCTCCTGGGGTGGGCCTCACTCCTCTGGACTCAGCGCCCTGCCTGGCCTGGGCTCTGCGTGCTTCTTAGGGTGTGCCATGGCTGCCCCTCCAGGGCTCACAGTAGATGCCTGCATGGCAAGTGGCAGCCATGTGCGTTGAGGCCACGCGCTGTGGGCCCCAAGGCACCTCAAAGTTTAGGCAGGAAGAGCAGACGCCAGGGTGCATGGGGAAAATGGCGGACAGAGATCTGCATATTTGTTTACAGATCACAATGTTTAGAAGTTTTAAAGAATAAGCCCCTTGCAGTACATTTAAAAGCCGATGAAGGTCACTCCACATCCTTTGCTGAGATGTCTGGGGAGACTTGACTTTGGAGCAGACGGCCCAGGCAAGGAGGTTCACAATTGCACCTCCTCTGTCGGTGGAGGGACGTTTCCGTAAACCAAAGGGAGTCGCCCATCTAGGATCAACTTCATCGTGTTAGTTATGGTGTTTTGTTAAAGTGTCCACAGAAACCAAGCAGCCTAGTCCTGGTGTGGGGAAGTGTCTCCTTAGAATTTCAAGTCGGCTATGAGCACCCCTGGAGTTCCCGGGAAAGACGGTGGGCTCAGGGTCAGGCCTCGAGCTTTAAGATGCAGCGGGGACCTGCCCTGTGGCTTTGCTCTGTCCCGGGCAGTCCCATCTCCTTTCTCCAGGGCTGCTCTGGCAGATCCCCTGCCGAGACGCCACGGGGGAGCCTTGTTGTATGTGGGTTCTGGCTAGAGGCAGACGAGGCCCAAGGTACCAAGGAGAAGCTCTGATACTCAAATGTCACTTAACTAATTTCCTTCCACGCACCAACAAAATAATTGGAATGGCATTGACAAGGGGAAAAACAGCCCGCAGTAAAAAGCAGTTGTCCGAAGCTTCTGGTGTCTTGAGGAAATTATTTCCGCTATTATCTTTCACACAGGGCTCTAGACTGGCCAGAGTAGTCCGTATTATTATGTGACTATCCAGACTATTTCCTCCTCAGTGCCCTAGCTAGTTTTGGGCCGAGCAACACTGATACAATAGTGATTTTAAACTCAGTGAGCATTCCAAAGTTCAGCAAATACATCAAGCCTTTCAAAGTTTCTGCAGGATAACTGAGAAAAAAAAAAATCTATGTCTTGATTTTTGTCAGTTGTCTTGGAAAATTTCCCTTTTCTGTTTTGTGCGTGCTGTCGGAAACCAGCCAAGTGTGTCCTGCGCCCCTTTGGTATGTAGGCTGCATGGTCGAGGAAAGAAAAGGGTTCACTTGGAACCCTGGATCTTGGTTGCATAGTGTGGCTAAGAAAAGGGATGTTTAGACAACACTGGTTTTCAGAAAAATGAAACTAAAGCAGGAGCCTAAATATACACAAAAATGTACAGTGATGTGTCTTTTTTTTCTTTTTGAGACAGAGTTTTGTTCTTGTTGCCCAGGCTGGAGCACAATGGCATGATCTTGGCTCACTGCAACCTCCACCTCCCAGGTTCAAGTGATTCTCCTGCCTCAGCCTCCCAAGTAGCTGGGATTACAGGCACCCGCCACCACGCCCGTCTAATTTTTGTATTTTTTTAGTAGAGATGGGGTTTCACCATGTTGATCAGGCTGGTCTCGAACTCCTGACCTCATTTTATTGATCATTTTATCTTTTTGGTGTCTAAGAATCTACTCCCAATTTAATATATAATTTTAGCTTAGAATTTAATGTATGGACAGTGGAAACTTACTATCAAACACTTTAAAAAAATCCAGCAGAATCCATATGAGAAGTTTATCTTGGCTCATGCATATGCTCCCCTATGTAAACCGAGTTATAGCAAAACCACGGGCCACTTTATGGAGGGCACAGCCTCACTGGGCGGAACCGGTACCCAGAGGGACGGTAAGCCCAGATGGTTGGTGCTGCAGTAAATTAAGCCTGATATAGAGATGTTTGTGGGTTTTATTAAAGTCTCATGATGTCTCTAAGCAGTTCTTGTTATATAACAGAATGAATTATATCGTCCAAGGTTATTGCTCAGATAACCTACTGGAAATGATAGTTTTCCTCCTTCATCACATGAATCTAAATGTTAACTAAGCGCTTGTTAGCTTTTCACATCACATCGGAGGGATTCGTTAGCTCTCACATCTCTGCATATGTGTTTTAAGAGTCTTTAGATAAAAGATGAATCAAAGTGATTCAGTTCTGTAAGTTTTGGACTAGAAATCAGAGTCTCTCTGGACATCATCCGAGTGTAAAATGTAGCACAAATTGCCTTTAAAAATTAATAATTTACCAAATCTATCAGCTATGCCCAGTCTGGCTTGAGAAGATAAGTAAAATAAATATTGTAAAGTCAATTTTTAATAATCTGTGGCATGAAATTTAAGCACAAGAGAAAACATTTAGCAATTAAGCAGGAACATTCGGTGCATGATTAAATGTGAATAATAATACATATTTAAAGGCCTCATAACTTACCTGCTAGCAGGAAATATTTAAAGTTCTAATCTACTACACAGCACAGCTCATGCCGTTTCTTTGTTTAATGAGCTCTTGCCTTGTGATTTTCATGTTTGAGCAGTTACTTTGTAAGTATTTTTACATGGACAGCTACGTGTAAGGCTGACAAAGAGTAGCACAGACAGATATGTGGTGGGGGATTGTCAGGCCAGCGCAGCCACGGAAAATAATATGATCAGATCCTTCATCATGCTGGTAACCAGTGGTTGGCTGTATTCATCTAATTATTGAGACAGCACATTCACATCCGAGGGATTTTATTATAAGAGGTTTATAAAATTTAGAGTTGAAGCTGATCTGTCTCTATCTACCAAATAGAAGCTGGACTCAGGACCATGGTTTTTCATGATGAAGAATCAAATCCTTGATAAATGATGGCAGGTCCTCATCTTCCAGAAAGAGGGAAAAAAAAAAAAAAAAAAGGCAGAGGAAAGGAAATAGCTCGGCTGAGAAACAGAGAGCGAGTGAGCACAGCGCTGACAGAGAGGGAGCCGCTGCCTGCCGCTGAGAACACAGGCTCTGCACCCAGGGCACAGAAGCAGGAGAAGATGTAATTCTCGAGGACCACATTGATTAACGCCCGCCCAGGGCTAGCCACAAATTAGAGCCCCGTCCTGAAAGAAGCAGTGCTATGTCTTGTAAGGCATGCTTCCAAAGGAGCTTGCATTGCACACACCCCGGAGCAAACCGGCAAGTAGAGAAGACGGACACTTCCCAATGAAAGCGAAATGTTCCTGCCTGCCCTGCGCCGCTCGGTTCTCCTTCCTCTCTCTGCTCTCACAGGGTGGTGTTACACCTCCACTGCTCTCCATCTAGTGTGTTTGTGCAACACTCGCCTCCAGGGGGAGCTCGAAGCTCTCCCGCCCTTCACCTCTGATCAGAGCACTGATGTGAGTCAGGTCCCCAGGATGGTGGGGGCACCGGCTGGAGGAGGGCGGGGGCTCCTTCAGACCTGCCTTGATTAACCCGGACCAAAGGGGCCCTCTGCACTGGAGCGTTACAGTCAAAGCACAGCCTGTGCACCTGCCCGTCGGTTCCATAGTGTTTGTCTGCTGCTTGGTTTGTGGGACAGGTGGCTGGTCAGGATCTGCAGGACCTAACCCCACCCACGCTCAGCTGTGAGGAGATTAAAGGGTCTCAGTGTCTCAGGGTCAGGTTCCAGGCTGGCTTCTTGCGATTTCACAGAAGTCACTAAATCTTTTTGGGTAACAATGGGCTTACTCCTAAAAGCAGTGGGAGGTTGGGGGTCAGGGAGCAATTTGAACTTATTCTTCTCTAGATTCTCTTTCATTACAGAGTCTTATTCACATTGAATAAATGTTTATTCATACCTACTGTGGGCCAGACACTATCCTGGGCCCTGGGACTATAGCAGTGAACAAAGTGGACAAAAATCCTGCCTTTATAAAATGCACATGCTGAGAGTTAAGACTCACGATGCTCAGATGGGGCTGCTGTTGTGGAAGTCAGGAGAGTCCACGCTGTTAGTGTTGACTGTTTGTTTTGTCCTTTCCATTGTAAGATTCACCCCATTGCCTCCTAAAGTGAACCCCAGGGCAGGGAACATGTTGACAGGGAGGTGGTCTAATCTAAATCCAGTTAGAACACTCGGAGAGCTCCTAGACTGAAACAGGGAGAAGGAAGCACATTTTGGATGATTGTATTTGTTCCTTGATGGGTCTGCTGAGGAAGAGCTATGTACCCATTGCATGTGCTATTTCCATCTCAGGTTATTTGAAGAGAATACAGAGGAGAAGCAGCCCCAGGTACCTACTCTAGTGGCAGAGTGGCAGGCTTGAGGTGCCTGCATCTGAAAGCTGCTGTGAGTTAGGGAAGCCCCCACCAAAAGGCCCAACAATGGGCAACATCCCCCATCAAAGCCATGGACATATCCCTGGCAACAGACTTGGCTCTTAACTTCCACGAGTTTTTAAGCCAAGGTTGGCAAGAGGAATAGAACGGGGACGTCAAGGTACATCAAAGGAAAGATTCAAAATATATGGAATCCATGAGGCCACATAGGATATTTCACAGCTTTATGCTTTTCTGATAAATCCTGGAAGACTTAATATAAGGTCAGGAGTTTTCAGTGCTCTGATTCGGTAAATTTATTTACAGAGACAGCTGTCCGAGGGTGGAATAAGGACTCGGGAGTGAGAGGGAGGCACTGTCAACACTTTCAGGCCAGACCAGCGGCTCACGCTTTGGAGACCGGGGCTGCAGGTGAGGGCACAGGTGGACCTCAACCCACCTGGACACTCCACCAGAGGGGAAGGCACAGTGAGAGGCAGTGCCCTGTGGCTGAGCTGACGGCACTGGTCTTGGGGCAGGGAGAGGAGCCCGTAGGTCACAATGGCCTTGGTGACCCCAGCCTGCAGGTCACATGTCCCTTACCTGGGAGCCATCTACTCTGGAAACCATGGATACCTACACATCTGTGCAAAATTGACACAGTGCCTCAGTTATTTGGGTAAGGCTGACCAGTGAATTCTGATAAATTGCTGTAACAATGACCACCCATCTGTCAATGTGTCACCAAGCATAGGCTGTATACACTGTGCAGACTGTAAGGATCCACTGGGCTTTCGGCCTGCGGCACCCAGGTATGAAGGGCATTAGCGTACCTCCTATGGCCACACGCAAACTCCGCCTGGGGTCTACCCCATCACTCTCCACTCCATTTTGCAGATGGAGCCCACCGAGTCTCCCTAGAAACAATGGCTTGGATCCTGGGAGCAGTGGCACCCACCTGTCTGGTTCTTATGGCCGAGAGCCCTGCAGCTAGATGTTCTGTGAGCCTGTGTTCCCATTTTATGGAGACTCAGAGAGGTATTTGCCTTGTGCATTTCTCCTGGAGCTTACATCACTGAAGGGGACCCTTGGCCAGCAGTCTCTCTGCTCCGAGTCCCCGAGTCTCCACAGGTGGCCATGGCCATTGGGTTCCAGCTCAGCTCCCACCTTTGCCACCGCCTTCCCAGCCCTCGCTAAGCTGGAGTCCTGGCCCGGGCCCTTGTCCCAGCTTCACGCCATTGCTTACACCCTTGGCCCCCTCCCTTCCTGAAATCACTGTCCTTCTTTTCCCCTCTAATCTGAGTCCTGTTTATTCCTTAAAACTCAGCTCAACTCCCCTGTTCTCACTGAGGGATTCTGCAAGCCTCCTAGAAACCCCTCCGGCCTCCTGGCTCCTGAGCACCCGGCCTTGAGCCTGCAGCCACCTTGCCCAGCACTGCTTGGTCCTGGCAGTGTGGCTGCTGCGTGTTCATGGTGCTAGGGGGACTCAAAGGTTCTAGGGGAGGCAGGGACTACTCTTCCTAGGCCTAGTTGTCTTTGCTACCTTCCTAGGGCCTAGTGAGTTCCATGCCACTGTGTATGCAGTAGGTCCACTATGTATGCAGTAAGATCACTGTGTATGCAGTAGGTCCACTATGTATGCAGTAAGATCACTGTGTATGCAGTAGGTCCACTATGTATGCAGTAAGACCACTGTGTATGCAGTAGGTCCACTATGTATGCAGTAAGATCACTGTGTATGCAGTAGGTCCACTATGTATGCAGTAAGACCACTGTGTATGCAGTAGGTCCACTATGCATGCAGTAAGATCACTATGTATACAGTAAATCCACTACGTATGCAGCAGGACCACTATGTATGCAGTAAGACCACTATGTATGCAGTAGGTCCACTATGTATGCAGTAAGATCACTGTGTATGCAGTAGGTCCACCATGTATGCAGTAGATCCACTATGTATGCAGTAGGACCACTATGTATGCAGTATGACCATTATGTATGCAGTAGGTCTACTATGTATGCAGTAGGTCCAACACATATGCAGTAGGTCTACTATGTATGCAGTGGGACCACTATGTATGCAGTAGGTCCACTGTGTATGCAGAAGGTCCAACACATATGCAGTGGGTCTACTACGTATACAGTGGGACCACTATGTATGCAGTAGGTCCACTATGTATGCAGTAGGTCCATTATGTATGTAGTAGGTCTGCAAAGACTTTGCTGATTGATCTGAGGAAGGATAAGAGGATATGAATGTTTTTCCTGTGGCTCTGGGAGTAAGAAGCGTTTAGGGCTACACACCTAACTACCTCCTGGCCTAATGGATGCTCTGTGGGCCTGTGTGAGAGCAAGAAGAAAGGCTGAACACCCCTGTGAGAACCATGTCAGAGCCGTGGCTCCAAAAACCACGCGAGATGGCATGCTCTGAGGCCTCTTCCTCGTGTTTAATGACTCGTGGCAAAGTGTGGATTCTCGCGGATATTTACAAATGACTTCCGTTTACCACCGGACAGTTCTATTGCTGAGTGGTCTGATTTCCTGGATTATGTCCTAAGAAAGTTTAGGACAATGCCCCTAAAGTGGTCATTTAGTGCCCACGGAAGCTTGGTGCTTTGTGTGTCATGATGGTGCATCAGGAGTTTGCAAAAAAAAAAGAGAGAGATAAATAAAAAGTAAAAGGCACAGATGGGGCATGGACAGCTTCTCATTGCTTGTTCCATGTGATGGAACTCAACACATCTGCTCTGCTGCGGAAAGCATCTTTGCACTAATTTGTTTGTCAGTGTCCATTGAGAGGACGATCTGTCATCCTGTCGCATTTTGGTTGCCCCGAGATGTTTGAAGACAAGGCTAGCCACAAATTGGAACTGTGGCCACTGGGGAGTAAGTGGTGGAAACCACCAGCTGTTCTAAGTAACATCAATTGTGATTTTTTTGTAAAGATGAAATTTCAACCTAAGGTCTCCAAAAGCATTTATCAGCTGCATGAAAAAAAGCTAATCACCGTAACAGAAGAGTGAGTCTCTTCTAACGCACGTCCTGGGGTGCGTGCGTGGAAGCCTTGTTACAGCTGGAAAAGCAAGAGAAGGGGGTGGTCAGAATTCAATGAGCCTGGAGCCTCTGTTTTGCTCCATGGTATTTTAAGTCTTTCTGGTCAAAGGTAACAAGCATTATCCTGTAATTGGACTACGGTTTCAGGAACAAGAATTGAGATTTCATTGTGCTACTGCATTTGATTTCCTGATCAAATGCTGTGATCTGGTCATGGTTCTCCTGCCCTATATACCACCTGTTTCTCAGGATACTTTACGCTGAATGGCATTCATTTATTTGGGTTTTTGTTTCCCTGAATCCATTTTAATCTTCCCGGAGCATAGAGACTATGCTTTGTCCTAGAACACAATAGATGCTCAACAAATGTTGCTTTGATTGAATCAATTCAAGTTTGTATCCTTCAAGCAATACCTGAAGTATCTAATCTTTTATACTGAATGTGTTGCTGTCCAGGATTCCAGGGATTTGCTTGCATACTCCCAGTCCTCTGTCACTGGGCAGGTCTCTGTGGAGCACCGCGGTGTGGGAGCCTGGGCTCGCTCACTCCGCTTAGATCTTGTAGAAGATGGTTGGATCTAAGCAGAACCTTCCATCTACAGCCTCTCAAGTTGCCAACCCATAAAAACCAGCTGTGCTCCTGGCTCAGTAACCCTTCAGTCCTTGCCTTTCTCTGACTTCTCTTCCTTGTCAGCAGGTTAGTTTGTAGCCTGAACTGCATGATGGAGATTGAGCTGGATCTATTTTAATTGCCATGAAGACATCATGGGCAGGAAGCATGCATGCTGGAATAGATTAGCAAACATTGACTCCTCACGAAAGCCACAGCCTTCCAACTGCAACTCAGTGGTCAGAGGAGGATGAGCAAAAGTGGAGGACAGAGAATGACCCGACGTGGAGCTGAGCGGGTGAGGGCTAATCTCACAGAGGCATGTTACTCAAAAATGCGGAAACAGGTTCTTTCAGGAGGTTAGAGTTTCCTTCCTCGACTCAAGCAGTCATTCTGAGCATGTGGCATTTGTCAGAAGGTTGTGTTTATGTTTTATGCTTGATCTATAATGACACAACAAAACTCATATAGAGAAGGGGAATCAAGATCTGATGTGTAAAAGAGCCTGTGGTTTAAAATATGGAGGTATTTTGGGCTCCCTGGTGAGAGGTGAGGCCAAGCAATGCAGCACACAGATGAGCTCTGCAGTGCCAGCCTCATTAGGTCGGCCTGCGTGGTCCTCTGAAATGTACAGTTCTGTTGTCGTCACTGTGTATAAACAGAACAAGGAGAGAACTGCCTTATTCCTGGGCACTGGCCTTTTTAAATCCTTTCTTTTTCTCTTTAAATTTCATGTTCCCTTGTCATTGTTGCTGTAAAACCGAAGCCCTCTTCTGCGTGGCGATTTGGAGAACACAGTCAGCATGCACACACATCATTCTTCAGGTGCAGTTATGACAGAAGGATGGTCCTGTCTCATCCCTACACCTGTGAGGCCTCAGTTCTGCCTCTCTCCCCTGTTGTGGCCTTGGAAGGAAAAGCCTCCAGCTCTGAGTCTGCTGCCAGGTGGAGGTTCTTCCATTTGATAAGGTGAGGAGCGTGAATGGATGGAGCTGAGCTTCTGAGACTCGGAGACCAGTGAACCTGCTTGCCACCCTGGGCAAGAGAGCCCAGGGGCTGGCCCAGGAGAGGCGGCAAGGCTGTGTGCAGACACTTTGCCCCTGGTTGACTCCTGACGGCGCTTACTCCACCACTGCATCCCTTCTATACCCTGCTTCTCCCTTCAGACAAGGGGCAGACTCCTAAGAAGGCAGCTTTGTGTTGGACAAAACACAGTGGGGACAGGAACCTAAAGCAGTTGTGAAAGAGCCGGAGGACCCCTGTCCCCAAACCCTGCCCATCGGGAAGAGGCCACAGAGCTATGTGTCGGCCCCACGCTTGGGCAGACCACTGCAGGCACGTGTGTACTCCGCTGGGCTCCAGGGGCCTGATTTTTTAACTTATCCCTGAGATTGAGTTATAAAATTTAGATCCTCCATAAGTAGACTCACATGGAGTCCCAGCTGATTTCTGATAAGGGTGGAAAAGGAATTCAGTGGAGGACAGGTCACCTTTTTAGAACATGGTGTGGGAGTTCTCAGATGTGATGCTGAGTACAATTCATAAAAGAGAAAATGCAGACATCAGACCTCATCAGAATTAAAAGCTGTTCTGTTCTGCAGAAGACTCTGTTAAGAGGGTATGAGAAGCTCAAGATTAAGATAAAGTATTTGCAAACCACATGTCTGGCAAAGGACTTATGTCTAAAAAAATATAAAGAACTCTCAAAACTTAGTAACAAAGTCGGCAATACCATTAGAAACGGGCAAAAGACAAGAAAAGATGTTTCACTGAAGATGATATACAGTTGGCAAATAGGCATATGAAAAGATGTTCAATGTCATTAGCCATTAAGGAGATGCAAATTAAAACTACAGTGAGATGTTACCATATACCTGGCAGAATGGCTTGATTGAAAAGTGGTGACCACACCAAATGCTGGTGAAGATGTAGGGAAACTGGATCATTCATACGTTGCTGGTGGGAAAGTAAAATGTTACAGCCACTCTGGAAAACAGTTTGGCAGTTTCTTATAAAACTAAACATGCAACTACCACATGACCCAGAGGTCACATTTTTGGGCATTAATCCTGGAGGAATGGAAATTTATGTTTGCATAAAAAACTGTACATGGATGTTTATAGCAGCTTTATTTATAATAGCTCCACACTGGAATTAGTCCAGACCAGGTGTTCATCAGTGGTGAATGGTTAAACACACCATGGTCATACACACTGCTCAACAATAAGAGGAAATGAACTATCTGTATACACAACTTAGATAAATCTCCTGGGAATCATGCTGAATGAAAAAAGCCAGTCCCATTTTTTTTTTTTTTTTGAGACAGAGTCTCATTCTGTCACCCAGGCTGGAGTGCAGTGATGCAATCTTGATCTCGGCTCACTGCAACCTCTGCCTCCCAGGTTCAAGTGATTCTTGTGCCTCAGCCTCCAGAGTAGCTAGGATTACAGGCATGCACCACCACACCCGACTAATTTTTTTGTATTTTTAGTAGATATGAGGTTTCACCATATTGGCCAGGCTGGTCTCGAACTCCTAACCTCAAGAAATCTACCTGCCTCAGCCTCCCAAAGTGCTGGGATTATAGGAGTGAGCCACCACACCTGCCTCCAAAATGTTTTTATGCCTATTTTTTTTTTTTTTGACAGAGTCTTGTTTTGTCACCCAGGCTGGAGTGCAGTGGTGCTATCTCGGCTCACTGCAAGCTCCGCCTCCCAGGTTCACGCCATTCTCTTGCCTCAGCCTCCAGAGTAGCTGGGACTACAGGCACCCATCACCACGCCCAGCTAATTTTTTTGTATTTTTAGTAGAGATGGAGTTTCACCATGTTAGCCAGGATGGTCTCGATCTCCTGACCTCGTGATCCGCCCGCCTCTGCCTCCTAAAGTGCTGGGATTACAGGCATGAACCACCACGCCCAGCCTTTTATTCCTTTTATATGACATTTTTGAAATGACTAAACTATGGAAATGGAGAACAGATTAGTGGTTGTCATGGGTTAGAGATTGGGGGCTGGGGATGGGAGGGAGGGGGGTGTGCTTATGAAAGGGACAACATGGGGACCTTGTGGTGACCGGATGTTCTGTGTTCTTCACAGTGATGGTGGACGTACAAGCCTCCACCTGTGATAAAATTACACAGATTTAAACACATGCACTTACACACACACACACGCAATCCCACACACACATACACACACGGACACACACACACACACGGACACACACACACACACGGACAAGGAAACAAGTCAAACAGGAAATCTGAATAAGGTGGGTGGAGGGCACCAGTGTCTATATTCTGGTCTGAATCAGGTGGGTGGAGGGCACCAGTGTCTATATTCTGGTCTGAATCAGGTGGGTGGGGGCACCAGTGTCTATATTCTGGTCTGAATAAGGTGGGTGGAGGGCACCAGTGTCTATATTCTGGTTGTGATGGTGTGCTCTAGTTTTGCTAGTTGTTATCATGGAGGGAAGCCGGGTATGAGGTATGTGGGCACTTCTGTAATGCCTCTTACAATGGCATGTGCGTCCATAAACTTAAAAGTCTAATTAAAAATTGTTAAATGCTTACAGGGTTATATGAGTTTTATGTTTGCACAAATCTCATAATCAAAATCTTAAATCATGATCATGAACTGCAGTGGTGCTCCTGGTGCTGTTTTAGCTGATGAAATTACATTAACTTGCCTTCCGTAGGATAAAACGCTCATCACTCAAAAGTGTACCTAACAGCCTGCAAACAACATAAACTGAAACCTTTAGTATGCAGATGGAAATTCTCATTCTCAATAAGAAGACTCCGTAAAGAGAATATGGTAAAATATTAGCCTATAGATTTGGGCCCAACCCACATGGATGCTGCAGACGTGAATGCAGGACAAAGGTTATTGCTCTCTCTGGTACACACATGAAGCCTGTCTTTCCATGAGAAGCAGTCTCTGTGAGCTCTAGGCCTTGCAAGAAGCATCATTCAGCTTCTATATTCTGCTGATATGTTTGCTTAAATGAAGATGCATTAGATATGAATCCTGCTGGGCTGGTCTGCACCATACTTATTAAGACAGTCACTTTGAATACCTGATTTTAGGAATCCTGCTAAAGATTAGATACAATCTTTCTCTTCCTTATCTAACTGCTTTTTTCTATAACTGCTATTTTTGCTTTTCCTCTTCTCTTTCCCTCCTCTCTCCTTTTTCCTCCCCTGTCTTACTCCTCTCTCCTCCCCTCATCTCCTTTCCTTGTTGCTAGCAAAACCACTCTTAAATAACAGCTAAGGGAATTTCTCTAAACAGAAATGAAATAATAACAGAAGAAGGCTTAGGGCTTCAAAATGGAAAGAACAACATTGAAATGAGTAAAAATCGTGCTAAGTATCCTTTTCCTCATGTGGCGCTCTCTATATATAGAGGATACTTACGACAATTGGATTTAGAAAGTATGGAGTGTAAGAGAACTAAGTGAAAGTGAACTTTCTATGCTTTACTCGAAGTGGCAAGGCACTGATGTCAGTAGACCATGGTGCAGTGTAGTTGCATACTGAGATACAAAGAGCAACTGATAAGAAAACTGTAAAAGGCAAATACTAAAAAATTGTGAATAAATCAAGGTAGAATCCTTAAGAATATTCAAGTAAGCCACAGTAATGCAAAAAGGAAATAAGCAGAATGAGAGGCAGAGGAACAAACAAAACAAATAATAAAATGGAAGATTTAAGCCTTGATATGTCAATAATTATGCTAATTGTAAATGGCTTATAACACTAATTAAAGACAGAGATTGGCTGAGTGGATTTTTAAAAAACCCACAAAAACATGATTCAACAATATGCTGTCTATGTAAAACTCACTTAAATTACAATGACATATATGGATTGAAATTAAAAGGATGGGAAAAGATATACTGTATAAGTAGTAATTAAAAAATCAGTAGCCAGGTGTGGCGGCATGCATCTGTAATAGCAGCTACTTGGGAGGCTGAGGCAGGAGAATCACTTGAATCTGGGAGGCGGAGGTTGCAGTGAGCTGAGATCATGCCTCTGCACTCCAACCTGGGTGACAGAGTGAGACTCCGTCTCAAAAAAAAAAAATCAGGAGTGTCTATATGAAATTATATAAAGTAGACTCATAGCCAAGAAAATCACTGAAGGCCAAGAGGGAAATTATATAATGATAAAAGGATCAATCCACTGGGAAGACATAACTATCCTAAATTTAGTGCATGTTCCAAACAACAAAACATCAAAATATATAAAGCAAAAAGTGACAGACCTGAAATGAGAAGTAGGCAAATCAATAGTTACCTTGGGGTCTGTCAACACCCTACTGTCAGTAATTGATAGAACTCCTAGACTAAAAGTCAGCAAGGATATAGAAGACTTGAACAACACCATCAACTAACAGGATCTAATTGACATTTTAGAATATTGTCACAGGATATGTCACAGAATTGCCATCAGCAACATAGAATACACATATTTTTCAATTTCTTCTGAAACACTCATCAATATATACCATATACTGAGCTACTAAACAAATCTCAACAAATTTAAAATAATAAAAATCATATAGTGTGTTCCTTGACCATAAAGGAATTAAACCAGAAATCAATAATAGAAAGACAACAGAAAAGTCTTCAAACATTTGGAAATTAAACAACACACTTCTAAATAACCCATGTATCAGAGAAAAAATCTCAAAGGTAATACAAATGCATTGAACCAAATGAAAATGAAAATACAAAAGCCACAGTGTTAAGACGCAGCTAAAGCAGTACTGAGAGGGAAATTCATAGCACATTTAGCACTTATACATATTTATAATTGATCTAGACTGCTTACATTAGAAATGAAGAAAGGTCTCAAATCAATGGTGCAAGTTTCTATTTTATAAAACTATAAAAAACAAGAAAAATAAACCCAAAGCAAGCAGAATTAAAGAATAAAGATGAGAGAAGAAATCAATCAAATTGAAAACAAGAAAATAGAAAATCAGTGAAATGAAACTAGTTCTTCCAAAAAATCTATAAAACTAAAAAATGTCTTGCAAGACTGAGAAAGATACACAAAGAGAGAAATACAAATCTCTGGTATTAGGAATGAAATAGGTGCTATTACTACAGAACGTGTAGTTTTTAAAAGAATAAGGGAAAACTATGAACAATTTTAAGTTCACAAATTCCATACTTAGAAGAAATGGCTTGTAGAAAACCATAAACTGCAAAAACTCAACCAAGATGGAATAGCTAACCTGAATAGTCTTATAACCATTAAGTGAACTCATAATTTAAAATCTCCCAGGAAAGAAATATTCAGGTTCAGCTCCCCGCCACACTTCAGATTAGGTCAGGCACCCACTTCTGCTTTAGTTCCTGTTCTTTTCCTTCATGCCATGCATCACAGTTCATTATAATATATTAATATGATTATCTTATTAAGCCACTCTCCCAGAATCCTATAAATTCCATGACTATGTTACTTATTTTATGTCTCCAGCATAAAGCCTGACACCTCATGGAAAATGCAGAGATAGTAACTGAATGAATGAATGAATGAATGATATCTTTGAATGATAGAAACATAGCTCTCAGGGTGTCTTATTTAACTTGTGATATATTGAGAAATTGCCCTAGAATATCAAGATGGAATTTGTTTGGCTTGGCAATGTCTTCATCATTGACAAATATTAGCTCATGAGGTCAGTCAAGGGCTGGCTGGCTAGAGGAAAAAGTAAATATAGGTATGAAGGAAGCTCACGCCCCTAATTCTCTGAAGTTTTACACAATAGAGTTTGTCTTCCATTTCATGAAGTCTCAGCCCGTGACTGTGACCTTTACCTTTTTACTTTTGCTAGAAATATTTTTTCATGAGGGTATTTTAATCTAGGATGCACGTTCACTTATCTAAGTGAAAAGTCCCAAGTCGAAAAGTTCCAAATCTCTTTAATGGAGGTTGCAATTATGACTTATTTCCTTTGTCTGGGAACATAACCTTGCTGTCTGGCTGTGGTACAGATTGCCATTCAATATACTTATATGAGTATGCTTAATATGAATATGCTTATTCAAAGCTTATTCAAAGAATCAATGCAAAGGTCCCCAGGGCTCCACTTTCTCTTTTGCTTTGCATTGTTATTGATTATTGTCCTTGGGGAGATGGTCACCTTGGGCAGGGAAGGCCCAGGCATCCCCCAAGGGCAAGGGTGGTTCTGCTCAGCTGGAAGCCAGAATCTCGCACAGCCATAGCCTCTTCCTAAATATCTCCTGAACAATGAATACGTGGTTCAATGGATCCTCAGTTTTAAAGGAGATCCCAGGTGAAGATGAACCTGGCTGATATACATCCTTAAAAAGAAAAAACTAACAAGCCAAAAAAATCTCCCATTTTCTAAAAAAATCCTGGTCTGGAAAGAATTCAAGCCATGTCAACTCCGATGTAAGCTTTGGGAATGGAATTATCATAATCAAAGAGAAAATGAAGTGAAGAGAGTAGGAAGAGGAGTCATGCAAGGAAAGGCGAAGCTTGAGAAAGAACACGGTGGGATAGCCAGGACCACAGCATTCTCCGAATTGTGGCAGCTGGTGTGAAATGAGGGCTGGGGTCTCTCGTGTGTGCCCAGGACATCTTGCATGCATGGAAGTGCTGCACTGGCCAATGTCATTCTCACTGCCCCACAAGCCTGCAGGGAGGACGTATGGTTTGCTCTGTGACTGATTTTAAAGTGATCTCAGGGAAGAATAGGAAAAGGCAGAGAGTATTGTCACCAGGGAAGTGGATTAAAACGTGTGGATAAGCTGCTGGGTCGAAGTCTCCTGCAACCCTCATCACCTCCTTACAAAAGGAATCAGTCCGGCTTCCCAGATGCGGACGTTCAGGTGGTGAGGTTGTCGGTGTTGAGGTTGTTGTTTGGCCAAGATCACATCCATAGATGACTGAGGGGTGGAGCAGGGATTCGATCCACTTTGTCCAACCCTGAGCCTGAGTGTCTCTCCCAGGCCCACCTCCCACCAACCCTGAGTTGGGATGAGGACTGCTGCCCTGCCCCACTGACAGGAAATTGTGGGGAGAACAATACAGGAAGTTGGAAATGCAGCGCGGAGATAATTTAAAGGATCAGTAGCAAGAAGTTCCATTTATGTGTATAGAATGTCTAAAAAATTTAAATGATTCCTTCAGAAATGTAATAATTTTATAAATATAGGTCTAAAATGAATCAAAGTTTCCGCTAAGATACACCTCGGTGGACCCTATATGGTGGCATTACCATTATGCTGTTGACTGTAAATGTAACTGAATGTGCAATTATGGTATCATTTGACAAGTTGGTGCATATTGAACACATACTATAGAACACGGAGGCTATTTTAATATTTAGGTGCTGATTTTTTTGTAATCAGAAAGAAAACAACTATATTTTCAAGTATACGTTAAAAAAGGGTTTGAGTTTCAGGTGAAGCTATTAGATTCCGAGAAGGCTGATAACGAGAGATTTAAAATAACACGAAGATTCAGGTGAAGCTATTAGATTCCGAGAAGGCTGATAACGAGAGATTTAAAATAACACGAAGAGGTGATGTACACAGAGGCCGGTATGAGAAATTCCACATTAACTGTAATTTGAAAATGTTTTGCCTCTCACCGCTTTCTGCGTTTTAAATGGAGGTGTCTGGCCCTCACTCTCCAAGGCCTGCTGTCTTTGTGTCAGGTTTCAGCTCCCGCTGGGGCCTCAGATGTGTGGGTGTGGCAGGCCAGGTCTCACTAACGCAGGCCTCCGTAGCAACTGTTTCAGTATTGACTGGGTGGTGAAGTTGAACATCAGAAGCCAGTGCCCTTATACAACGGCTGGAATAGGACAAAAGCCCACCAAGAGTTTTGCCCGGGCCTTTCCTGGGCCTTGAAGCATGACAAAACAACGAAGGCATTCTTAACAGGACCCATTTAGAATTAAACAAGTTTTACTGGGGGTCTGAAGAAACCCCCCAAACCTCCATGATTTAGCAGCAGACAAGATAAGGGTAATCACCCCGGCACCTGGACCATTTAGATGACGTAAACTCACTGAGGCTCCAGAGGAAGGTCTTCAGGACTCGACCTTAGTTATAGACTAGAAGAAGTTCATCACTTATGTCTTTAGGGGAATGAACACTTACACGTAGACATAGAGCTTAGAAGGTACAGAAGCTCTGGAAAACTTTGTCATTCTGAGTTGGTCTGGCGATAGTTTCTGCTCCTTCTCCCTGTAACCAGTTACAGAAATAAAAACTCCTTCCTCCTCAGTTCATCTGCATCTCGTTATTGGGCAGAGAGAAATAGCAGCCCAACCCTCAGTTTGGTCCGGGAACAAGGGCACTTGGGCTCACAGCTTCGTTGGGGGAAGATTCAGATCCTCAAAAAATTGAAGCACAGCACGGACCTGGGTCCCCTGGGAGGCCGTGGAGCACGAGGGAGGGCACAGAACCCACCCTGGCCCGAGGCCGGCTGTGCCTCCAATGAGAGGTGTCCCCGGGCTGTGGATGCCCAGGTTACGGGGAAGGTGGTGCTGGCTGGGGGGCTGGGAGCAGATGAACGGCAGGAGCTCAGACAGGTGTTGGTGAGACAAGAGCGGGGCTCAGGCCTGCTTCCAAGCCGATGCTTTTGCATAAAATGAACTCAAGGGAGGGTGTGAAGCTTTCCTCCCCTCAGTGTTACTCCTGGTGGAGAAAGCTTGTTAAAGATGTTCTAATCTCTGCTGTGGTAAAAGACAGGACCATTAACTCAGGGGGCCTGTGTTCCTTCCGCTTGAGGGCAGAGCCTTTGCTGCCCCGGGCTGAGCCTCCTTCTGCGCAAGGACCATTAACGAGGGGGCCTGTGTTCCTTCTGTCTGAGGGCGGAGCCTTCACAGCCCTGGACTGAGCCTGCCTCTGCACCATCCTGCAGTGTCCTCTCATCCAAACTGTGGCCGCCCTGCCAGGCCCCTCTCTCTCCTTCCACTTCCTGGGCGAGACTTCAGGGTTCACAGCATCGTTCCAAAACCTGCACGGGAGAATTTAAACTCAGGCCTGCCTGCGTCCAGCTCGGGTCCTGTCTTGTCCCTGGCTGCCACCTGCCTCCCTGCTGGCCACCCCAGCAGGCAACGTGAGGCTGGAAGGATGTGGCCTCCGGGAAGGTTTTAGTCCACATGTCACTCATAATACGACATTCAGCAAAATGAGTAAAAACGTTTCGAAGGGAAAATGATTTTATAGAAAGGGATGGGTAACCTTTATGATAAAATTGCTTTGCTAGAGCGTGTTGCTTGTGACAGCACCACCTTTCTGTTCTTGACAATGTTTGTCTTCTTAACTAAACAAACGTTAGCTGAGTTGAATGAAATTATGTACGAACCAGAGAAGTCGGGAGGATGTTTGAGGCTCGAGCCCCCGTCATCACCTTTTGTAATATAACTTCATTTTGTAATGGAAGTGGCTCTTGCGAGGCTGTGTGTGTGTGTACGTGATATGTGTTTGCATGTGCGTGTGTGCATGCTTGTGTGTGGGTGTACAATGAACACCTCTATTCAAATAGAGCAGCTCTTCAGAAGCCACTTGGATTGATCTGTTAATTTTCCAGAATTTTACAATATGGAGAATCATCACAAGGGAAACCTATACTACCCTAGCAGCTACTTTTTAAAAATTCTTTTTGTAATTAGCCTAGGTCTCTTTTTGTTTTAAAGAAAGTCTTCACTGATTTTTAACGATCACACTTACTTCTCGTGAGCAAAAGCCGATAATGTCTGCAGTTTGAAAGGTAATTATGCCTGGCTTCTCATCCAGCAGCTACTCTGATATTCCAAAATAATAATGTTACCATTGGAACTGGGTTATTCTTCATACGATACTTTGTAGTATTGTAACCATCTTTATAATAATAAAAAGGCATTTATATTATGAACACTTAATTTTTTGTTTTCTAAGATTTCCCACCTCTCAAAGCTTTTAGGAAAGAGAACATTAAAAGATGTTAATGCACACAGATACATCTCAATTTCCCTCGGGGAGAAGCTACCTTAACTGCCATTTCAAGTTTTACATTTTTGCTTTAAACGAGTGATTTCATTTAAATAAAAAAGTCTTATTTTCTGTGATGAAAATTCAGCTGCTCCTTGTAACCCTGAAGCATCTTGATTTATTATTGACTATATCCTCTTTCAAGGAGAATATTCTTCTCAAAGACATTATGCAGGAATTCTTATATTGCTTACTGTTTGGCATTTTCTATTAATCTCACCACATCTGTTTTCATGCTATTTGGATAAAAAAATCAGAAAAGTATAGTAGTTACATGTTTTGATAAATACAATTGCAAGAATCAACACATTCTGTTCACCTGAAGGAGCCTGTCTAATGTATGCTGTTAGTTGCATTAAGGAACTCTTAGAAATTTAAAAAGCATTTTTAACAGGGCAAAGGTTTTCTTCAGTTCTTTTGTAAAAAAATGTACAAACTTCACTAAAATAAATTTTAGAAATTACTTTGTAAAAGACGTAAATGGGAAAAAACATTTTATATGAATTTGTCTTCCAAAAATAATTTGGTATACATATATATATATACACACACACACATATATATACACACACACACACATGCACATATATATATATAGCTAACTTTCCATATGTGTGTGTGTGTATATATGTGGATGAACGTAAAGTTAGTTGTAGCTTATTATGTCGTTTCTATGTATAGTTGCAATTCATACATATTTATAGTACATATCCATAGAGTCACAGGACACACATGCTTATGGTACAAAGACTAAGAAGCGACTCCAGCCAGGACGCTTACAGCAGACACGCAGCCACGGGTTTATTAGGAGCCCGAGTCAGGTCTCTTATTTGCACAGCAGTTGTGTGCCTGGCTGTGCGCTGATCTAAAAGGCATCTCCTGCCCTAAGAGAGTTGAGTGACTCACCTGAGCCGATTGGGAAATTATTAAGGCAAGAAATATGGGAAGAAGGGAGGGATCCAAGTGCATCTGAGCCCTGATGAGGATCCTGGCCTTGGAAGAGCGTCCTGGGCAGGAGTGGGGTTTGGACAGCGATAGCGGGTCCTGTGGGGAAGGAAGCCAGCATTTCAGGCTGGAGCGAAGCTTCTTTGGAGGTGAAAAGTGACACGGAATGTGCAGGAAACAGTAAAACTTAAAATGGGCAGAGGATATGGGACGTGTAGGGCAGATGGAATAAACAGGAGCAGAATAACTCCAGTTAAGCTGAGCAGATCTGCTATCTTTAATCTTCAACGCGAGGCTCCCCACCTGGGGTCTCACTTCTTAGGAACATTATGCCAGCTGGCATGACCCCGTTTACTCATGAGAACCGCTTCGTCCCCTTCCCTTCCTGCCACCTCTCACTCCCTCCTCTCCTTTGGGCAGAGTGGCTGAAGCAGGGTGGGCAGACAAAGGCCCTGAAGAACACTAGCTCTGGCCTTGGGAGTGAGACGCACCTTCCTTCCCCTCAGTGGACAGAGCAGGTCCTTCACTATGGGGCTCCTGAGTCTCTCCCAGGATGGAGGCAGGCCCTTCACGACAGGGCTCCTGAGTCTCCTCAGTGGACGGAAGCAGGTTCTTCACTATGGGGCTCCTGAGTCTCCCCCAAGACAGAGGCAGGTCCTTCATCATGGGGCTCCTGAGTCTCCTTAGCAGATGGAGGCAGGCCCTTCATGATGGGGCTCCTGAGTCTCCTCAGCAGATGGAAGGAGGTCCTTCATCATGGGGCTCCTGAGTCTCCTCAGCAGATGGAGGCAGGCCCTTCACTATGGGGCTCCTGAGTCTCCTCGGTGGACAGAAGCAGGTTCTTCACTATGGGGCTCCTGAGTCTCCCCAGGACAGAGGCAGGTCCTTCATGATGGGGCTCCTGAGTCTCCTCAGCAGATGGAGGCAGGCCCTTCATGATGGGGCTCCTGAGTCTCCTCAGCAGATGGAGGCAGGCCCTTCACTATGGGGCTCCTGAGTCTCCCCCAAAACAGAGGCAGATCCTTCACTATGGGGCTCCTGAGTCTCCCCCCGGATAGAGGCAGGTACTTCACGATGGGGCTCCTGAGTCTCCTCAGCAGATGGAGGCAGGTTCTTCACTATGGGGCTCCTGAGTCTCTCCCAGGATGGAGGCAGGCCCTTCATGATGGGGCTCCTGAGTCTCCTCAGCAGATGGAGGCAGGTCCTTCACTGTGGGGCTTCTGAGTCTCCCCCAGGATGGAGGCAGGTTCTTCACTATGGGGCTCCTGAGTCTCTGCCAGGATGGAGGCAGGCCCTTCATGATGGGGCTCCTGAATCTCCTCAGCAGATGGAGGCAGGTCCTTCACTGTGGGGCTTCTGAGTCTCCCCCAGGATGGAGGCAGGTTCTTCACTATGGGGCTCCTGAGTCTCTGCCAGGATGGAGGCAGGCCCTTCATGATGGGGCTCCTGAATCTCCTCAGCAGATGGAGGCAGGTCCTTCACTACGGGGCTTCTGAGTCTCTCCCAGGATGGAGGCAGGCCCTTCACGATGGGGCTCCTGAGTCTCCTCAGCAGATGGAGGCAGGTTCTTCACTATGGGACTCCTGAGTCTCTCCCAGGATGGAGGCAGACTCTTCATGATGGGGCTCCTGAGTCTCCTCAGCAGATGGAGGCAGGTCCTTCACTATGGGGCTTCTGAGTCTCTCCCAGGATGGAGGCAGGCCCTTCATGATGGGGCTCCTGAGTCTCCTCAGCAGGTGGAGGCAGGCCCTTCACTATGGGGCTCCTGAGTCTCCCCCAGGACAGAGGCAGGCTCCTCAGGATGGGGCTCCTGAGTCTCCTCAGCAGATGGAGGCAGGTCCTTCACTACGGGGCTTCTGAGTCTCTCCCAGGATGGAGGCAGGCCCTTCACGATGGGGCTCCTGAGTCTCCTCAGCAGATGGAGGCAGGTCCTTCACTATGGGGCTCCTGAGTCTCTCCCAGGATGGAGGCAGGCCCTTCATGATGGGGCTCCTGAGTCTCCTCAGCAGATGGAGGCAGGTCCTTCACTATGGGGCTCCTGAGTCTCCTCAGCAGATGGAGGCAGGTCCTTCACTATGGGGCTCCTGAGTCTCCTCAGCAGATGGAGGCAGGTCCTTCATCATGGGGCTCCTGAGTGTCCCCCAGGACAGAGGCAGTCTCCTCATGATGGGGCTCCTGAGTCTCCTCAGCAGATGGAGGCAGGTCCTTCACTGTGGGGCTTCTGAGTCTCCCCTAGGATGGAGGCAGGTCCTTCACTATGGGGCTCCTGAGTCTCCTCAGTGGACGGAGGCAGGTCCTTCACTATGGGGCTCCTGAGTCTCCTCGGTGGACAGAAGCAGTTTCTTCACTATGGGGCTCCTGAGTCTCCCCCAGGACTGAGGCAGGTCCTTCATGATGGGGCTCCTGAGTCTCCTCAGCAGATGGAGGCAGGTTCTTCACTATGGGGCTCCTGAGTCTCCTCAGCAGATGGAGGCAGGCTCCTCATGATGGGGCTCCTGAGTCTCCCCCAGGACAGAGGCAGGTCCTTCACTATGGGGCTTCTGAGTCTCCCCCAGGATGGAGGCAGGCCCTTCACTATGGGTCTCCTGAGTCTCCGCTGCACATTAGTGCTGACAAGCTGAGCAGCACCTGGGCTCCGAGACAGCCTGGATTCCAAACTGAACATGGCCACTGATGAGCTAGGTGACCGTGGGACAGTCAATCTGATCCTCATGGTGTGGACCGTGTCTAATATTAAATCTAATATTATATCTCCAGTCCTTAATATTCCACACCTTTGCTACAAACGCCTTTTTTTTTTTTTTCTTACCATCTTTAAAACTGGTAGCATCTGGCTCAGAGATTGCTTTTTGGAGCCAGAGCCCACGATATACCCCCACATTGTGACAAAATTTCAATGTCATGATAATGAATGACATCAGCTACACATAATATTTTCAATTTTAATTCTTAGTTTTGCACAACCTAATTTATCTGTAGCCTGTCCTGGGGGCAGGTCTGTACCGGTTTCCTGAAAAATGTCTAAAGTCTAACATAAATTAAACAAGATTATGAACACTCTGGTCCAAGATAAGCTATGAGCCAAGTGTTAACTGTAAAGTGGTTCCTAATGTGTTTCCAAAGTCCAACAGAACAAATGCATGAAATGCCAGGAGATGAAACTGTTTTAAGTAATGAAATGGGGTCCTCAAGAGAACATGAGCACAGACTTCAGGTGAGTTTTACAGCCATTTTTGTGCCTTAGCCAAGGTGCTCACAGACATGACAACGAAAATTCATGTGTTCAAGCCTCACTCCAGCCTTTGCTAGACCTAGAGGAATGAATAGCTAGCACTATTCATTCACAACACTGCAGGATATTTTGTGATTACACTTTATGGGTTCACTGGTGGACCAGTTTCTCAGCTCACTTGGTAGTGTCAGCTGAATCATTTCCCTAAGTAGGACTGTCAGGTAGACCAGATGTCAGCTTTTGCATCTGTGCAGTAGACGACTAGTTTCACTTGCTGTTGGGTAGTTAATAACATCTGCCTCCTGAATTGCCTTTCATTATGCATTTAGAGAAGAATATCCTAGATTCCTTGGGAAAAAAATAGAAAAAATATGTCTAGCAAAATCTTTTACCTGCAACTTATCTAAAAAAAATTGTTTTTTGGAAAAGCAATATTCCTATCTGCTGTTTTTATTGTTTTTGCTTCAGATGCACTGTTTTTAACATAAGCTTTCTAACATCTGAAAGAAAGAAGAGTTAGTGTGGTTAATCTTTCAGAATAAAGAGACAACTTCTCAGAGGAAAGAAGATTTGATGCAGAAAACCCATTGTTTACATATGATTATTTGTTTTGGAAGACACTCAATAATAAATAATAACAGTTAAAGATATTTTCCAAGTCCTTTAGACATATTATGTCATTAAACTCACATTCAATCCTTCCTATGAAGTAGGTATTACTCTTCACTTACACAAAATCACACAGGAAGTAAATCAATCATTTTTACTTATTCTCATGACATATTTGTCTTTTTTTCTGTGACAATCTATTAATGTTGTAAAATCAAAAGAAATTTTAAAATTTGTTGAAATGTTGACGCTTCCCATGCTTAATAATGTATAGAATCTCCTTTAATTTTCAAAATTGACATTGATAATAGGATATTCATCTCTGTATTTTACGCAGATGAGGGAATTGAGCTTAGAGAAATTAAGAAACTTGTGCTAATTCTGTTATTCTGAATTCTCTCCTTATACTGTGGAAATAAATATTCATTTGATTTTATATTACAAGTCAATTCCCAAGTAAATGTGTGGATATTCAACACCCTGGTCCCAATTAACAATGAAGAAACAAAACAAAACAAAATTCAGTTTCAGTCTGATTTTTAACCAATGCATGATAAAACATCCTTGAAATAGGATCTTTCTCTAACTTGCCCATAACTATAAAGTTAAATACCCCATGGGGTATATTACGCTAATAAAATTTAAACAATATAACTGTGTAAGATCTGGATTATTCAAAATTTCTGCAACAGCTTATCTCCTTATTACCCTGTCCCAATAAATAGTTTCCCTTTTTCCAAGAACCCCTTCTGGGGAAGATCAGAAGACAGCTCAGGTTTCCCTCCTTGGTAGGTGTGGTTTCCTAATGTCTTTGTCAAATTTCTCCCTGGTTAGGTCTTGTCTGTGTCCCCACCACTAAGCATCACCCTGTGGAATTCATGTCTTCACATTTTAATCTAAATTTTAAGTTTCCTCTGTGTTAGTATATGTTAATGTTTCATGTTTTCAGTGTGGAGCTCAAACCACAGGCCTGCTAGAGATGGCCATGCTGTGCTTGAAGCCAAACTGAAAAAACAAAAACATCCACACACAAAATAGAAAACCAGACATTTTCACTTAATAGCTACTCTCTCAGTTCAAATAATGACAGTGTTATTCCAGGCTCACCCAAGTGCTACCCCGACAATAAACATTCTTATAAAATGAAAGGACCAGCAGTCGTACTCTTGAGAGTGAGACACTGTTCTTATGAGATTAAATGAAAAGATCAATAAGAACCAAGCTACCTGTTATACTGTATATGGTAAAAGCACAGAAGATAGAAAAGTTCAGTTTAACACTTTGCCGTTTTGATTTTTTTTCTTGGAAAACTTGGGAGAGAAACAGAGAATTCTGACCCAGTATAAAATAAACAGACCAAGAGATGCTCGAGGGGTATGACCACCTGAGCTGAATGGACAAGAGGAAAAACAAAAACAAGGAAGATGGGGAAATGCAATGAGCCAGTCTGAAAAGCGAGTTGACTGTACTTAAACTGATAGAAGACAGTAAAGTAAATGAGATGGGACAAGAGCAAAGAGGGATGAAAACTACTTCAGCACAAAAGACTAAATTGAAATAACACCTACAATGGGTTGGGAAGGCCTGGAGAGAAGTGAATGAATAAAAACAACAAACAAACAAACAAACAAACAACGGAAACTTCTAGGATGACACCAAGTACAAAGTGATGTAAATTTTTCCTCTAAGTAGGCATAGGCCAAGGGGGAAAAACACCCAAATTCAAAGCTTATTTTTCTGTCCTGTGCTTGGGACTCATTTTTCCTTAGGAGAGCTTTTGCCCCATTTCATGTGGGAGAATGTGAGAAACCTGGAACCTACATCTGGTTCTTGCTGAAGACCTTTCTTTGCCATTTATGCTCCCTCAAAACTAACTGTCTTCAGTTTCCTTTCTTATTATGCAGGCGAATTAATTCTTTAATGTTAATAATATATTCCATTTGTTAAATATTATACAGTTTTTGGTCTGCCATTCCTAACAACTTCTTTGATTCCCCTTGCAAATTGAATTAGTATTTTTATTTAACCATGTCCTTCAGTTTTCAAGTTCTTCAGCTATTGAAGGAATCGCCTCTGTGTGTGGGACCAGAGGACAATGAAAAATTCAACACCTTTCTAGTCACCATTTTAATGTTTTAAGACTATTAAGACATTAATAGAAACCTCCTTTTTTTCAGATATCAGTATGAGTTTAGCTGATTTCGCAGCTAATTCCTAATAGCTTGGACTTAAGTGAGAATAAAAGGTTCAAGAGTAAAAATCGATTAAATGAGAGTTATCTAAGAATATTGAGAAAGCCATTGCAAGAGATGATAAAAACTAAATAAAAGGAAGACTCGAAGTCAGTAGATTATCTTTTTCTGGAGAGTATTAGAAAAAAAGGAAGGTAAAGAAATGTTTCCTTATTCAGCATGGGGGAGTACAAATCTACCACTATTGCAGGTTAACACAAATGCTATTCACCCATCCACCTATCTATCTGTCTGTCCATCTATCCATCCATCCATCCACCCACTCATTCATCCATCTGTCCATCCACCCATCCATCCATCCATCCATCCATCCATCTATCCATCCATGCACCCACACACCACTCTATCCATTCACCATCCATCTACATCCATTCTTCTATCCATCTATTCATCCATCTATCCATCTACCCACCCACTCACTCATTCATCCATCCATCCACCCACCCACTTACTCATTCATCCATCCATCCACTCACCCACTCATCCATCCATCTATCCATCCATCCACCCACCCATCTATCCATCCATTCACCATCCATCTATTTCCATCTATCTACATCCATCCATCCATCCATCCATCCATCCACTCATTCATCCTTCCATCCACCCAGCCATCCACTCACCCATCCACTCACCCATCCCATCCATCCATTCACCATCCATCTATCTACATCCATCCATCTATCCATCCTCTATCCATCCACCCACCCATCCATCCATTGATCATCCATCTATCTACATTCTCCTTCCATCTAACCATCCATCCACCCACACATCCATTCATCCACCCACTCATCCATCCACTCACAATCCATCCATCTACATTCATCCATCCATCCATCCACCCACCACTCTATCTATTCACCATCTTTCTATCTACCTCCATTCTCCCATCCATCTATTCATCTGTCTATCCATCCACCCACCCATTCACTCATTCATCCATCCATCCATCCACCCACTCACTCATTCATCCATTCATCCACCCACCCACTCATCCATCTATCTATCCATCCATCCATCCACCCATCTATCCATCCATTCACCATCCATTTCCATCCATCCACCCACTCATTCATTCTTCCATACACCCAGCCATCCACCCACCCACCCCATCCATCCATTCACCATCCATCTACATCCATCCATCTATCCATCCACCCACCCATCCATCCACTGACCATCCGTCTACATTCTCCTTCCATCTATCAATCCATCCACCCACCCATCCATTCATCCACCCACTCATCCATCCACTCACAATCCATCCATCTACATTCATCCGTCCATCCACTCACCCATCCATTCACTCATTCACCATCCATCCATCTACATTAATCCTTCCCTCCATTCATCCATCCACCCACCCACCCATCTATCCATCCATCCATCCATCCATCCATTTACCATCCATTCACTCACCATCTATCTATCTACATTCATGTTTTCATTCATCCATCCACCCACCAACCCATCCATCCATCCACACACCCATCCATTCATTCACCACCCATCCATCTACATCCATTCTTCCATCCATCCATCCATCCACCCACCCACCCATCTATTCATTCACCATCCGCCTACATCCATCCTTTCATCTGTCCATTCGTTATTCATCCCTCTACATCAATTTATCCTTCCATCCATCCATTCATCCACCCATTCATCATCCATCTACATCCATCCATCCTTCCATCTATCCACGCATCTATCCATCCATCCACCCACCCATCCACCCACCCATCCATTCACCACCCATCCACCCATTCTTCCATCCATCCATCTGTCCACTCATCCTTCTGTCCATACATCTAAACTCATCCATCCATCTGTCCTTCCATTATTTACATGTTGCATGTACTCACTAGTAAATCACATGCTGTGAGGAAATCAGAAATTTAATATAGAACCATGCTCTTAAAAACTTATTTTTTAGTTGAGAAAATTAAAAATTGCCAGTTAAGTAGGAGAATACGCTTTCAGTGGTGCAAATAAGAACAGTAGTGGTCAAAGAAAAGGAAAGTTAAAAGGTGACTGGAGAGGCCAGGGAATGAGCTAATGGGCTAATAAGCTGACCTGTGTGATGGAAGGAGGTTTGTTAAGAGTGAGACATACGGTTGATGATTTGGATAAGATAGTTATGCAATGTAAATGACAAAACTCTATAGTGGGTCATTCAATATTTTAGGGGAAGGAAAAGCAGGTGAAAAATCCGTAGCTTTTCTTTCGATATTATAGTCCAAAGTGAGACTACATAAACTCTCTCTCACCATGTAAAGCTCCTACTCCCTAGAGTAAGGTTCTATCTTTAACACTGTAGGACGAGGAATGGAAGGGAGGGGGTGAAGGAAACATGAGGTCATTAAGTTAATGCTTTGCGTTGTCATGGACCAGGACAAGAAGGCTGAAATAAGGTTGTGTTTTTGTTCTTCCACTTTCTGGACAAAATTCTTTGGGCAAGTCATTTAGTCTTTCTGAACCTGTGCGTCTCCATTTCTGGAATGGAAATATTATTATTTTTATGACTACGACTACCTCAGATGATTATTGTGAAGATGGGAAAGAATTCTGTGAACTACCCAAATGGTACCCCCAATACACAAATCGTCATAGTAAGAAAAATAGCACCCCAGCTTTCTGGACATTTGTACAAATGTACAAGCTATGTTACATGCACCTGTTTATTCAGTCTTCACAATGACTTTATGACACAGTTGTTACTATTTTTCCCACTTAACAAATGGGCAAACTGAGGCAGAGCTTTTCAGTGGCACAGTGGGTAAGTATGAGTGCTGAGGTCAGGGCTTAGGCGGGGGCGAAGGCATGCAGGGAGGCGGTGCTGAAGCAGGAGACACGCTGGGCACAGAGGCAGAAAGCCTGGGCTCCCATTCCTGTTTGTCAGTGAATAGCTGTGCTCCTCAGGGCAGTCACTTGAACTCTGTGTGCCAGTTTTCATACTTTTTAAAGGAATAATTTTTCATCTCTCTTACAGTGTTCTCGTGACAGTTAAAACGTTCTTGTATGCAAGTTCGCCTATTATAGTGCTTGGTTCAGAGTGGACTTTGATAAGTTTTGCTTTCTTGTGAACATATTCAACGATTTCTCACTTATTGATACTCCTGCCAAAGTGCCTGACTTAGGCCCCGGGAGGGTTGATGGCCTCAGAGGGTTTCGACCTACGCAATTGTCAAGGGTTTATTTCATTCTTCTTAATTGAATTATAGCGCTTGGGTTCTTGAAGCTCATGACTTCATTTAGGAAATATTTGAAAATTGATTATTTAATCACTTAATTGTAAAACACGAATGAAATTTCTTAGTTAATTAAAGCTGTGGATAATAATTTAATTATAACTTTATATGCCAGATTTACTCAAAGCATCTTAAGGATGAGGATTCAATTAGCAGCCTTCGGATGCACGGGTCAGTGGGATACTACCTACAGCAACGCGTGGAATGGCTTAGAGCAGCATAGCTAGCAGCGCTTTATAACAGAAGCTTGGAGAGCAGGACACAGCTTCTGGCTCCACAGGTATCTGAGATTATCCTGGAAAAATTATTTAACCTCTTTAGGTTTCAGTTTTCTCATCTGTAAAATGGGATTTTTATATCTCTTTCCAAAAGATATTGTAAGGATCAAGTTATTTTCCCCTGTGGCTCATGGCAGGTAACAACCAACCTGGCTCTCAGGTGTGGGGAGAAAGGAGATGGCTGTAAAGGATGTCACTGTCATTCCACCAGGCAGAACACAATGGGAAGAGAGTACAGAAGTCCAGCCATACAGCTTCTGCATTTTTGAGTGAAGACAGATCATATGTAATTTTTTTTTTGTGTTTGTTTTGTTTGGTTGCTTTTTAAAATGTGATTGCAGCTTCAGGGGTACATGTGCAGGTTTGTTATACAGGTAAACTTGTGTCACGGGGGTTTGCTGTACGGATTGTAATGGCACCAGGTAATAAGCATAGTACCTGATTGGTAGTTTTTTGATCTCCATCCTCCTTTCACCTCCAACCTCAAGCAGGCCCTGGTGTCTATTGTTTCCTTTTTCATGTCCCTGTGTTTTCATCATTTAGCTCCTGCTTACAAGTGAGAGCTTGTGGTATTTGGTTTTCTGTTGCTGTGTTAGTTTGCTTAAGATCATGGCCTCCAGCTTCACCCACGTTGCTGCAAAAGACATGATCTTGTTCTTTTTTATAGCTGCATAGTATTGCATGGTATCTGTGTAGCACATTTTCTGTATCCAGTCTACCACTGATGGGCATTCAGGTTGATTCCATGTATTTGCTATTGTGAATAGTGCTGCAATGAACATATGTGTGCATGTGTCTTTATGGTATAGAAAAACAGTATTACAAACCTATAGGCTAAATTGATGTTCTTTAGTTATCGAGGGGGAAAGATAATTATATCCTTGGTGGTGTTTGATTTGTGTAATACAGATGTTTGAAACAAACATGTTAGTGGTGTTGGAAAACATATAAGACAGTATCTATGAAGAGGCGAGGGGAAGATTAGGTTTTGGGCTGACAGGCTCTCTCTACCTCCATGAAACAAATGTGAATGAGACACAGGGTATGGCTCCCTTTGATATTTAAATGTTAAGTGTCTACTCCAAAGTGAACATGGGTTTTATGTATATGCATGTGTCAGGACTCCCTTCATGAATATCCACAGCTCCTTCTGTCACCTGTTGACTATGTATGTTTAGCCAACCTATTCAGCATAGAGCTGCTGCCCAAATCCCTCCTCCTTGGAAGTGCCCATTTCTGGTCTTGGCAGGAAGCTCTTCTTCCCAGCCTGTGAGATTGCCATGCTTCTCTCAGGTGCTTTCTTATGAAAGTTTTCACAGATCATTTGCATGGTAATAGGGTGCATGGACAAGCCCATCTCACATAGCTTCTTATGTTAACATCTTTATTTCCTGCAGATTGAACCTAGAAAGACTGGTTGGGCCAGACATGTAAGTTTCCCTCAGTCCAGCAGCTAAGCAGGAACTCTGTGCCTTATATGGCCTTGGAAAGGAAACCGTGCTTGGTCTAAATCAACAGCTTTCCTTTGTCGACCTAGCACTGCTGGACTGTAATACTAACTTTAAATCAAAGGAGCCATACCCCCCCAGAAGCCACCGCCTTCCCACCAACAGCCAGAGCCTCAGCCTGCCGACCCCATGACTGACATCTCAGGGGTCCCCAGCTCATCTTGTAAGCATGACCACCCTGTGCACACTGCACCACAGGACACACATGCAGCCTGATCCTGCCCATACACTCTGGAGAAGCGAGTTCGGGGAGAAAAGGGTTCTGGGTAATTGTGTCCTGCACACCGGGATTCAAGAATGAATGGTTGCGGTCACTGGTGGTCCTGCCTCCATCCTCGGTCTTTCCATGAGTCTGGATGAGACCAGGTCCCCCTCACCCGAGTGACCCCCACTCCTTTTCTTTATTGCCAGGAACAGTCAGCCCCACATGCTATTATCAACAACTGTCACTTTCCCACATTTGCCCAAGACTCTGCCTCGGTCAGGGCTGCCCTTTGGCCAGTATCCCTTAGTTTTGTATTAGGATCTGGTGAGATCTCCCAGCTGGACCCCGTGCCCCTTCACTTCCCCGTGACCCATCCTGTATCAGCCTATATCATTCAGCTGCCCCCTCCACTGTGCTGAGTGTGTGCAATGCATCCCCATGGTAAAAGTTCTTCAGAAGTCCCATATCCATTGGTCCTGTGTGTTTTCTCCCCTTTTATCCCAGGTGTCTCCTGTGACTTCTGCTTCCTCTCCCCTAATTCCTTTCAGGACCCTCTGCACTAGCACATCAGATAGCTTCATAAAGTCTCCTGGAGCAGAAATTAGATGCTCATCCAGAGAGAATTCCCAGAGGAGAAGCCGAAGAGAACATGTCTGAAATCTCATGCAAATCCCTGAGAGTCAGGACCTCATGGGAAGAAATTCAATGTATTCCTTTAAAGGCGGGGACACAGTGAGGCTCATCCTCAGGGCTTTGTGCAAAGTGCTTCCCTCCAGATTGAAATATAGGCCGTATCTCCAGGTCCAATTTAATCTCTATTAGGCACTCAATGGCTAAATTAAGGACTTTACGGATACCTAATTTAGATAAACCCTTAACTATTAACCTCCAATAATGTCATCATTTCACTGAGTAGAAAAGAAAACATCTGGGTGAGTTCAATTAGCCAAGGGCATGGAGGAGAGGCCTGCACAGTGCCTGTGCATGCTAATTTTGTCTCGCTGACCCTGACGGAGGGGCTGGCTGCAAGGAGGCCGTGGCCAGCATGACGCTTGAATGGAAGGAGGCTGCCGCCAGTATGACGCTTGAAGGTGGCCACCCTGCCCTCCTGGGAAGAGCTTCCCGAGAGTCTCCACACTGAGAGCACAGGTGGAGGCTCCCGTCGAGAGGGAGCTCCCCACGCTCCCGTCGAGAGGGAGGGAGGAATTCCTCCTGCATAGCCCTGGTCCTCAGTTACAAGCCTGCTTCTTTTCCTGCCCTCTGAAAATGAGGACAACTCATCTTATTTTATGCAATTATAGTCTGTTACATAAAAGACACTAATAATCTTTGGAAAATCATTATGGGTGTGTCTGTCCACTTCGTTTCCTGCTGCTGGAAGGGTGCTTTTTCTTTAGCCGCTGTGGCTGCATTTTGGTTGCTGTAGGAGGCATGCAGAGCTGCCCCTGCCTCCCACTCTCGTGGCTTCGGTGATGATTCAGCACCGGACTCTGATGTCGGATGCCCGGATGGTGCCTCCTGCACCTGCAAATGCCTCCCTCGCCCCCTTGGATCTGTCACTTATTGTGTTCACATCTACCGTTTGCTGGCTCCTTTTGTTGAGGATGTCTGGTTCTTCCCCAGGGGAAACTGATCACAAAGAGGACTGAACAAGAACAGGCTGCCTAAAGCTATTTGACGAGGATCTGAGTGCAGGTGGATTTATTCTGAAGGTCATGGCAGGGAACATGGGTGAGTGGCGAGGAAGGGAGGTGAGGGGAGACAGAAGCCCCTGCTTGCATGGGGCCCCTGGGGCTTTGGGGGCTGCAGGAGCATGCCTTGGTGTTGTTCCAGCCTGAAAACCCAAGATTTGGGGTGTTATCTGCCACCTGACCCTCCACGAGCTGAAGGCTGCTGCTGAGGGGTGGGAAAGTGGTGACTTTTGGGTGACCCCACTGGCCCTCACCATAGCTGGGCACAGCACACAGTCAGATGTGCTGTCAGGGAGCTCCTGCGAATAGGCACAGCAGCCTTGAGAAAAGCAGAGGGAGCTGATGGTGTCTGCTGTGTGCAAGCCAGAAACACAGAGAGATGTGTGTGCCAACAAAACCTGGAAAATAACCATGTCCTCATAGCCTGGGGACTCTGGGAAGTCCTACAGCAAAGAAGAAGCCTGGTCTGCCCATCTTTGTGTGACAAGTGTTTGCAGGAAATAGTTCATCAAAAAACACTTTTTCTCAGGAGACAACTAGGAATCACCTAGGACACACTATGAAATGGTGAACCAGCGATACAGGTGAAAGTGCCCTCCCAGTATGGGAAAGACGGCAGAGTATTCAACAGGGACACAGGAGCGGTGTTTATCCTCTGGAGGGAGCAAACAGTGGAGTGTGCACCTCACTCAGCCACCAACTTTGCACCTGGCGGTGCTGCCCTGACACCTGAGGACTCATAGGGCCAAGTGAGGCTCAGAGTCTGAGGCAACTTGGACTGATCCTTAGGTGGACAGCAGGATGACAGCCACCTGTGCAGGAAGAGGGAACACAGCTGCAGAGAAGGGGACACACCTGTATGAGGAGGGGACACACCTGTTTGAAGAGGGGACACACCTGTATGAGGAGGGGACACACCTGTATGAGGAGGGGCTCACCTGTATAAGGAGGGGACACACCTTCCTGAGAAGGGGACACACCTGTATGAGAAGGGGACACACCTGTATAACAGGGGACACACCTGTATGAGGAGGAATTACACCCATATGAGGAGGGACACACCCATATGAGGAGGAAGTATACCCGTATGAGGAGGAAGTACACCCATATGAGGAGGAAGTACACCGAACATACTTGCAGAGGAAGGGAGCCCCCACCATGTGCCAGGGCCCCATGGACATGAGATCATGAGAGACATCTGGTCTGTCTTCTCGCCCACATGTGAGACAGATGGGAAGTTCCAGCATTTTGTTTATAGACTTAGAGAAGGGAATGAGTGGATATTTTTTTTTAGAGAGGTCACAGGACATCTCAGTGGCTTGTTAAAGGACAGCCTTATGAACGGTACCTAGGAATCACGGATGTGGAGTTGGAGGCAGTGTGGGAGCTGAGGGGAGGCCTGCTGCCATGCACCCCTGCTGGTCAGAGCAGATGCCTGGCCAGGAGGCTGACACACCACCTTCAGATTTGGCCGCTGCCACCATCACACCTCTGGGTGTAGTTTGATCCGAGACAGCAGCTTTCCAGCTGCGGGAATTCAGTGGCATGATGACAGCATACACAGGGAGACGGCAAATGTGAAAGCACTGGTCAACTGTCGCACATGTAAATCTAAGTCCATGGCCCACAAAAATCAGCTCTGTGTCTTGGGTTTGAATAATTGTGGGAAAAATAGTAATAATAATAATAACAATAATAAAAAAACTTCTTGGTTTTCTCTCTCTCCATGACTTTCTAGTTCTTTTACTCAGCTCAAAAACTTTCTTAGAAATACAGGTGATGCCATGGAATACTATGCAGCCATAAAAAAGGTTGAGTTCATGTCCTTTGCAGAGACATGGATGAAGCTGGAAACCATCATTTTCAGCAAACTAACACAAGAACAGAAAACCAAACACTGCATGTTCTCACTCGTAAGTGGGAGCTGAACAATGAGAACTCATGGACACGGGGGTTGGGGGGGGGAATATCACACACTGGGGCCTGTTGGGGGGTTGGGGGATAGGGGAGGGACAGCACTAGGAGAACTACCTAATGTAGGTGACAGGTTGATGGGTGCAGCAAACCACCATGGCACGTGTATACTGTGTAACAAATCTGCATGTTCTGCACATGTACCCCAGAACTTAAAGTATAATAAAAAAAGAAGACATGAAAAAAAACCTTTTGTATTTTTAGTGAGCTTATGCAGCTAATAAATTCATTTAAAAAAGAAATACAGGCAACAGCAGTGGCTCTCCACATCAGTGTGTGACAGTCACCAGGCTTTGTCACAATGCATCCTGGTGGGCCGCGCAGAGCCTGGGCCTCAGTGGGGTTGGGCCGGGCCTGACAATCTGCATTTCCAGCACGTCCCAGGTGCCACTGCTGCTGTCATTGGGGCCACACTTTGAGGACCCTGGGTCTGTGACGCCTAGTCCCTTACCTAGAATTTAATTCCACATCCTCTCTTCCCTCCCCCACGTCTGCAAAACGTGGCCTTGAAGGAGTTGTATCAGCAAGACGTTAGACAAGGCAGCTCTTCCCTGTCTCCCCATGGAAAAACCAAGTAAATCATGGGCTTTTCCCTTTGCTGATTGTGCCCTTTGATGCTCAAGACATTTTTAATGTGATGACGTTCAATTTCTTTCTGCCTTTTGTTTCTTGAGCTTTTGGTGTCACATCCGAGAAATTCATTTGCCAAATCCAATGTCATGACGCTTCCCCTATGTTTTCTTCTAAGAAGGTTTTAGCTCTTACATTTAGATCTTTGATCCATGTTGAATTGATTTTTGTATATGGTGTAATGTAAGGGTTTAACGTCATTCCTTTGGATGTGAATATCCAGGTTTCTTAGCACTGTTTCTTGAGAACACTGTCCTCTCTCCACTGAATGGTCTCGGTACCCTTTTCGAAAAGGCAACCCACAGAATGGGAGAAAATACTTGCAAATCATAGATCTGATACGAATTGGTTTCTAGACAATATTAAAAATTCCTACTACTGAACACACACACAAAACAAAGAATCTAATTAAAAAATAGGCACAAGACTTGAACAGACGTTTCTCCAAAGAAGGTAAACAAACAGCCAGTACGCACACGGAAAGAAGCTCAACGTCACTAATCATTAGGGAAATGCAAACCAAAACTGCGAGTTACCGCCTCATACCCACTGGAATGGCTACTGCAAGGGTTAGTGAGAATGTGGGAAAAAATGGAACGCTGTGCACTGATGGTGGGAATGTAAGATGGTGCAGCTGCTCTAGAAAATGGTGTGGCTATTTTCAGAAAATTAAAAATAAAATTGCCATATAGTCAAGCAATTCTTCTAGTTATATAGTGTATTGGTCTGCTCTCATGCTGCTAATAAAGACATACTTGAGACTGGGTAATTTATAAAGGAAAGAGGTTTAATGGACTCACAGTTCCACATGGCTTGGGAGGCCTCACAGTCATGGCAGAAGGGGAATGAGGAGCAAAGTCACATCTTACATGGCGGCAGGTAGGAGAGCGTGTGCAGGGGAACTGCCCTTTATTAAACCATCAGATCTCGTGAGATATTTTCACTGTCATGAGAACAGCATGGGAAAGACCCACCCCCATGATTCAGTTACCTCCCACTGGGTTGCTCCTATGACACTGGGAATTGTGGGAGCTACAATTCAAGATGAGATTTGGGTGGGAACACAGAGCCAAACCATATCATAGACCCAACGAAATTGAAAGCAGGGACTTGAAGAGAATTTATACATCCATATTAATGGCAGCACAATTTATGATGGGCAAAATTTGGAAGCATCTATCCATTGACAGATGAATGTGCAAAGAAAATGTGGAATATCTACTATTCAGCTGAAAAAGGAAGAACATTCTGACACATGTTACAACATGGATGAACCCTAGGGACCATCTACAATGGAAACTAAGCCAGTCACAAAAGGACAAACAATGAACAATGTCACCTGCATGAGGTCCCTAGAGTCCTCACACCCACAGAGACAGGAAGCAGAGGGTGGTTGCTGGGGCCGGGGAGGGTAACGGGCTTAATGTTTCGTGGAGACAGTTTCAGTTCTGGAAGATGAAACTTTCTGTAGACGGATGGTGGTGATTGCTCACGACTGTGTGAATGTACTTAGTGCCACCGACCTATACACTCAAAAGTGGATCAGAGGGTACATTTTGTGTTATGTATATTTTACCATAATTTAAAAAAAGAACAGAAAAAAGAAGACCCTTGCTGAGCTTTACAAGCAACTCAGTCTTGTCTTCAAATATTCTTCATGAATTGAGATGGTGCCAGGTTGCTGTTTAATACCAACAAGCGACAGAGGAAATTCTAAATAAGTTTAGTCACGTTGTAGAAATTTGCTTACGAAACACGAGACTGGAATCAAACTCCTTTAGGGCTTTTCCCCCTCAGTGGAAAGAGTGGATACCTTGTCACTGAACAACGTGATTTTCCCAGGTACAGTTTATTTACAGGCAAAGCCACATCCTGCTTACACTTATGAATAGTTGGCAGCTGGCTTTAGTGAGGATGGATTGCAGGTGAGAGGAGGAACTTTGTTAAGGACCAGATGCTTCCCTGTTCTTTTGCCAGGTGCAAATCAAGCGCCACCTGGAAGAAATGTAATCATTTGAAATGTCTTTAAAAATAGTCACTCTCTGAATTTAAAATGTTAATTTAAAACAATTATGATGAGCAAAATAATTAGGAAATACAGACTTCCTAAGTTAGGGAGCCAGGCTATTCAGACTATGATGATATTGAATTACTTATGTATCATGGATGAAGCAGCTAGATCTAAATGAACAAAAATAAAAAAAAAGAGAAAACAGAAGATTAAAAAGATTAAAAAGAAAACAATTTGATGTGTCTTTATGGAAAGTTAAGCTCTGGCCAGAGCTAAGTTGGAGGTATTGCTGTTTCTTTCTCTAAAAAAGTTTAATGTGTTCGATCCAGTTTTTTCATAGCATTAGAAAAACTCTTTTTGGGATTGTTACTTTTTTAAAAATTAATATTCTTACTACTACTATATTTGAGGGAACTGAGCCATTTACGATTGTCAATTTCCAAATTTCTTCATGGATACAGATTCATTTCTGATTCATTGAACTGCAAACTTATTTTTTATAGGGAAGAACTGACCAAAAGCAAGCGATTTTTATATCTAGAAACTATTCCCCCCTTCTGTCTATTTCTCACCTATCACCACACAAATACGTCTTCCATGAACGCAAGCAAAATAACAAATAATATTAAACAAAAGGGATTCGTTTTTCTTTAATGTATGTCACTTAAAGGATTGTACTAGTTCAGAACTTGGCGAACTCATGCATAGAAGAGTGGTTGAAAAGTTTCACTTATAATAGCACATTCAGAATAGATCATATGGCTATAATTATTTGTATGCTTTTCCAGGCACATTAACTAAGCTAAACTCAATACATCATTTCATGCATAATTAAAGATTTAAGATCAATGAAACTTACTCTCTTTATCTAGTTTCACCTAGGGACCCGGCGAGGGAAAAAGCTTAGAAAACTTTTTAGACGTTATCTACTAGTAAGAACGGAAACCACTGTAATTCCTTGTCCCTGTGTTAAACAATACTGGGACCAGCAAAAGGATCTTCCCTGATTTCTCCAGGAAGTACCTGCCCGTGAGAGCTAAGCCTAGGAACCAACCAACCAAGTCACTTCCTTCTCAACACCAGCAACGGCTCCTGGAGGCTCCTGCCCGGAAGACGTCTGCTCTTCCTACCAACCTAAAGTTTCCTCATTAACTTTGCTCCATACAAGCCAGTTCTTGGCTCTCATGCCTCCCGTCCCCGGCCCAAAACCTATGAACACCCCACACTAATTTTCTGCTCTTAGCTCTTGCCAGGCTGCAACCCCCACCTCTCTCCAGGGGGTCTCGTGAACCCAGCTCTGCCTCAGCAACGATCCTGCAAGGGACCATTTTGGGGACTTGAAGGTTGATGGAATTAATCATCAAGGTGTGCTCGAGACGCGCGGGGCGTGGTAAAAAGGGTCACTAGTGGCCCTTTCTTGCCCTTTCCCCTTAAACATATTTCTCTTTTACTTTGGGTAAAATAAATAGTTGAGACTTCTGTAAGAAAATAGGATCTTCTGACTGCCCGAGAAAGATCAATTTGTGTTTTTCTTTTGAGACAGAGTCTCGCACTGTTGCTGGGGCTGGAGCGCAATGGCACGATCTTGGCTCACTGCAGCCTCCCCATCCCAGGTTCAAGCGATTCTCCTGCCTCAACCTCCCGAGTAGCTGAGATTACAGGCAAGCGCCACCACGCCTGGCTAATTTTTTGTATTTTTAGTAGAGACGGGGGTTTCACCATCTCTGCCCGCCTCGGCCTCCCAAAGTGCTGGGATTACAGGTGTGAACCACTGTGCTGGCAGAAAGATCAATTTCTTTTCTTGGAAAGAGATGACATGGCACAATCTCCTGGGACAGGTTTTCATCCTAAATGATACATTTTGCCTGAACAAAATAAAACCACTCAAAACTACAAAGGAAATCTTCAGAGAATAATTTTCTGGACAACTGGAATAAGAAATAAATTTAGACATAAGGCTCAGCTTGCTGCAGAGGAGTGGTGAGCATGAGGGCTGGCCAGGGCGCTGGACACGACCATTGAGACACACCAGTGTCCACCTCTAACCCTGATTCCAGGAGGGTTCCGAGTTCGCTGGGACAAGCCATCCTCACTTTAAGGTGCCTTCTCATCTCAGGGTCTTTGTCTTCTGATGCTCCTGGGGCCAGGCTTCTCCCAGCTGTGGGTGGAAGGTGCACCCCATTAACCCACACACATAAAAGCGTATTGCTGCAGCTTAGGAGTCTCTGCTATGACTCGGGAAATAAAATGGAATCTTGGGACCCCACACTCACTCTGCCAAAAAGAAAGTTACGCTTCAGAGCTGAGCCACGCAATACTGCTTTCCTTTTGTTCCTGGACACAGAGCTACAATTCCACAGCCTCATCTCTAAGCCAGGTTCCCACAGTGACAGAAGGCCACATAGCTCCCTGATGGCCTCCCTCACAAACTGCTCACAACGAAATTCCTGGTGAACTCCTAAATCCCTCAGCCTTTCAGGATAGATATCCCCCTGTTTCTAGCCCTAAGACTGAGTTCTGTGGAATCTCACCCTGACAATGTCAATGACCAGCTCGTCTTCATAGGTAGAGGGCAAAGACTGGAACAAAAATCATCCCTCCACCCAACCCGAGGCGAATGCATCATTGGCCTTTTCCTGCACCCCTTCTCTTTGCACGTAAAATGTAGATTCACATCAAAGCCTCCAAGAACGTAACCATTTGCCTCATTGCTTACCCTCCCTCCTTTCTCTCCTGCTCTTTCCCCTTTAAATATCGAAGTTCCCCAAACGCTCTTTAGAAAAGTCGCAGGTGATGGACACTCATGTGACTTTTGGTTCTTTTCCCAGACGCATCGTCACACTCAGGCCAAACAAACCTCTCTCAATGGAGGTGTCACTGTGGTGAACCCTCTCTAGGCACGTGTCCATCTGTCTGAACCTCTGGAGGTCTCCGCAGGAAGAACAGCGTGCACCCACATTTAAATTTCTTGCGAATACTTCCCATCTGCAAAATAGGATCTTCTGAAGCTTGCAGTTGCTGTCAATCTCCTGGCCCTAATGAGCTGCCAGGAGAAGAAGGAAAGGTCCCACTTGAGAGTGAAAACTTGGGGTCTCACAGCTTCTCTTTCTCTGATGAAACAATTGAGGCTTTTCTATGAAATTAAGCTTCTTTGCATTTTAATATATATTATAAGTTTTATTGATCACTAAAAACAATGAAAAAAAGAAAGTCAAGAAGCCCTGCTCAAGAACTGACAATGCCCCTCTTAGCCCTATCCTGGGAGAGGCTCACCTATGCAGAGGGAGGCCCCGCAGACCCCTTCTTCCTTCTCCACTTGGGGGTCCACCGCTATGGCTTCCACGGTGCCCTCTGGTCTGGCCTCTTTGCTTTTACATTTTTCTGCCTGCCCCTCACTCCAGGAGCTAAAAATCAATTAGTTCTTAAATAACGAGGGCGGTAGCCACCTACATGAACCTCATGGGGAAGGCTTCTGTAAAATGAAGACCCATCCAGCAGCGAACGTAGTTTTTTCCTCATGTGTACATTTCTAAGTTTAACACTAGATTTGCTACAAGTGTGACGGAACAAACACTCGACGGAACAAACACTCAAAGAACAAACATATTTAAAAAGGTACTTTTCAAAAGAAGACACTTATGCAGGCAACAATCATATGAAAAAAAGCTCAACATCACTGATCATTAGAGAAATGCAAATAAAAACTGTAATGAGGTACCATCTCACACAAGTCAGAATGGCTATTATTAAAAAGTCAAAAAATAACAGATGCTGGTGAGGTTGTGGAGAAAAAGGAACATTTAAACACTGTGGGTGGGAGTGCAAATTAGCTCAACCATTGTGGAAAGCAGTGTGGTAATTCCTCAAAGAACCATTTGACCCAGCAATCTCATTATTAATTATATACCCAAAGGAGTATAAATCATCTATCATAAAGACGTACGCACGTGTATGTTCACTGCAGCACTACTCACAATAGCAAGACATGGAATCAACATAAATGTCCATCAACGACAGACTGGATACGGAACATGTGGTACATATACACCATGGCGTACTATGCAGCCCTAAACAAAACTGAGATCATGTCCTTTGCTGGGACATGGATGGAGCTGGAGCCATTCTCCTTAGCAAATTAACATGGGGTCAGAAAACCAAACACCTCATGTTCTCACAAGTGAGAGCTAAATGGTGAGGACACAAGGGCCAGGCGCAGTGGCTTGTGCCTGTAATCTCAGCATTTTGGGAGGCCAAGGGGGGGTGGATCACCTGAGGTCAGGAGTTTGAGACCAGCCCGGCCAACATGGCCAAACCCCGTCTCTACTAAAAATACAAAATTAGCTGGGCGTGTGGCACATGCCTGTAATCCCAGGTACTCGGGAGGGTGAGGCAGGAGAATGACTTGAATCCAGGAGGCTGAGTTTGCACTGAGCCGGATTGGGCCATTACACTCCAGCCTGGGTGACAAGATTGAAACTCTGTCTCAAAAAAAAAGAATGATGAAGCCACATGGACTCAGAGAGGGGAACAACACACACTGGGGTTGTTGGAGGGTGGAGGCGGGAGGAGGGAGAGGATCAGGAAAAATAACGAATGTGCATGAGGCTTAACACCTGGCTGACATAATCTGTGCAGCAAACCTGCCTGTGACCTGAGTTTACCTGCGTTACGAACCTGCCTGTGACCTGAGTTTACCTGTGTAGCAAACCTGCCTGTGACCTGAGTTTACCTGCGTAACAAACCTGCCTGTGACCTGAGTTTACCTGTGTAGCAAACCTGCCTGTGACCTGAGTTTACCTGCGTAACGAACCTGCCTGTGACCTGAGTTTACCTGCGTTACGAACCTGCCTGTGACCTGAGTTTACCTGTGTAACGAACCTGCCTGTGACCTGAGTTTACCTGTGTAACAAACCTGCCTGTGACCTGAATTTACCTGCGTAACGAACCTGCCTGTGACCTGAGTTTACCTGCGTAACAAACCTGCCTGTGACCTGAGTTTACCTGTGTAACGAACCTGCCTGTGACCTGAGTTTACCTGCATAACAAACCTGCCTGTGACCTGAGTTTACCTGTGTAACGAACCTGCCTGTGACCTGAGTTTACCTGTGTAACAAACCTGCCTGTGACCTGAATTTACCTGCGTAACAAACCTGCCTGTGACCTGAGTTTACCTGCGTAACGAACCTGCCTGTGACCTGAGTTTACCTGCGTTACGAACCTGCCTGTGACCTGAGTTTACCTGCGTAACGAACCTGCCTGTGACCTGAGTTTACCTGCGTAACGAACCTGCCTGTGACCTGAGTTTACCTGCGTTACGAACCTGCCTGTGACCTGAGTTTACCTGCGTAGCAAACCTGCCTGTGACCTGAGTTTACCTGTGTAACGAACCTGCCTGTGACCTGAGTTTACCTGTGTAACAAACCTGCCTGTGACCTGAATTTACCTGTGTAGCAAACCTGCCTGTGACCTGAGTTTACCTGCGTAACAAACCTGCCTGTGACCTGAGTTTACCTGTGTAGCAAACCTGTCTGTGACCTGAGTTTACCTGTGTAGCAAACCTGCCTGTGACCTGAGTTTACCTGTGTAACGAACCTGCCTGTGACCTGAGTTTACCTGCGTTACGAACCTGCCTGTGACCTGAGTTTACCTGCGTAACAAACCTGCACATGGACCCCTGAACTTAAAAGTTAAAAAAAACAATTTTATGTGCAATACCGTGACAGGTTTTGTGGCTAAATTTAAATGTTAATTTGGACATTATATATTCTGTTGTTTTTGATTGTCTACTCAGATGAGAAAAGTAGTCAACGCAATCAACTTCCTTAAAATCAGTATCTGCTGCACGCCAGGGACAGCAACAGAAGAAATCATTTCAGCAACAACGTGACACTTCGAACCTCCAGAAGAAGTGCCATATCAATGACATCATGACAAACGCCCCAGACCGAATTATTTCTGTGTCAGAGTCACTCATTATGGCTCTGGCTCTTGCAGGTCATCTCCCATTTAGGAGAACTTGTCCTATTGTCTTCATCAGAACACGTGTACTTGTCAGGCCTGCAGTCCTGATGTTTGGTTCAGAAAATATGGTCACTGTAATTATAGCCCTTCCCGGGTGAGGAAATGAGAATCTGACTCGTAATCCTTTTATCATTGACTTGGATGACTTATTTCTCACCAAATGAGAATGGAGAAATTTCAAGGGCAATTTATCTAATTCTTTCCCTGTGCATATATATTTTTTTTTTTAAAGAAATTTGCCCTGGTCAGAAAAAGCACATTTTCCAGAGGGATTCTTTAATGATATTGATCTCTTGTGCATTACCTGGCCTCTGGTAGACCTTACATGATTGTCCCAATTAAGCTGCCAGGTGAGTTTCTTAATCTTTTTTTTTTCCTTTTTTTCTTGAAGCATCACAGATGATTTTAAAGTTGTTTTTAGGCCAGGTGCAGTGGTTCATGCCTGAAATCCCAGCACTTTGGGAGGCCGAGGCGGGCACATCACCTGAGACCAGGAGTTTAAGACCATCCTGGCCAACATGGTGAAACACCCTCTCTACTAAAAATATGAAAAAATTAGCCAGGCGTGGTGGCATGCACCTGTGATTTCAGCTACCGGGGAGGCTGAGGCAGGAGAATCGCTTGAACTGGGGAGGCGGAGGTTGCAATGAGCTGAGATCACACCACTGCACTCCAGCCTGGGCAACAGAGTGAGACTCCATCTCAAAAAAATATTTTAGTTGTTAATTATTAAAAGTTGTTTTAATAATTACTTTGCCATCAGGTTCTATTTTCCCAAGCAAAATGCTCACGGTGTGTGTTCAGCTTCTCTGCCCCTCTTGGCAGGATATAGCCATTCCCCGCTCAGCCCTGCCCACTTCCCACCACCCCCAGGCCCCCTGAGCACCCAGCAGCAACCCTCAGCCAGAGCCTGCCTCGGCCACAGCTCAGGGCTCTGCCAGCTCCACTGTTGAAGCCCTTATGTCACCTGTGTGTGTGTTCTCTTGGCCAAGTGTCCCCAGCAAGCCCTTTAGTGAAAGAGAGCTTCAAGGGGAGAGGCAAAATAGTGGCAAAAAGCAAATTATTACAGCCTGTGACAAAAGGTACTCCACACAAGCCTCTACCTGCCGCCAGGGCTGCGTCCTAACCAAAGACAGCCAGGCAATGATGGTGACTTTCAGAATGGGATGAGGCTGGGGGCTTGAGAGTTGCCCAGTTAGGGCGTGTGCATGAGTGTAGTGTGCCTGTATGTGCCTGTGTGTATGTACATGAGTGTATGTGCCTGTGTGTATGTGCCTGTGTGTATGTACATGAGTGTATGTGCATGTGTGTATGTGCCTGTGTGTATGTACATGAGTGTATGTGCCTGTGTGTATGTACATGAGTGTATGTGCCTGTGTGTATGTGTGCATGTGTGTGTGCCTGTGTGTATGTGCATGACTGTATGTGCATGTGTGTATGTGCCTGTGTGTATGTATGCATGTGTGTGCATGTGTTTATGTGTGCACGTGTGTGCATGTGTATGTACATGTGTGTGTCTGTGTGTAGTGTGCATGTGTGTATGTACATGTGTGTATGCATGTGTATGTGAATGTATGTGCATGAGTGTAGGCATAGGCATTTATATACCATTGTGAAGGAGATAACTGATAAATAGAAATGTTATTTAAAACAAGAAACAGCCTCAAAACACGTCCTCCACTCCGGATGCAGTAGGGAAAGTACGTTTCTGGGGTTGGGTGGGGTGGGACGCAGCTGGTGGGGCAGGTGGGATGTGTGTCCATTTAGGGATGCCTAAGTGAGCGGAGCATAGTAACCAGGGTCATGGTGGGTTTGTGGGCCATTGAGAAGGACGTGCTCTCCACGTGATGAGTGGGATTGGGGGCTGCAGCGGGGGCACAGGAAGTCAGCCCACGGTGCCTGGGTGGTGTGTGGGGGCAGATGCCTGTGGTGTTCAGCAGTGTTTCCTCTCTGGGGCGTTCACAGCATTTGGTGGAGGCCGCTATTCCAGCACTTGTCACACAGAATCCCTGCGTGTGGCCCTCGCTGATGAAGCTGCCTCCCGCCCTCCTGTGTCCCTGGTCCCTGCTCAGAAACCTCCGTGTGTCGTTGGCAAAGAGGAGCGTGTCCTGGTCCATGATGCAGATGCAGACACGGGTAGAAGAGGCAGCAGGTTTGATGCCGTCAGCTTTTCCGCTAAAGTGGTTAACCCGGGCTTAAGAAGCGCGCGTATTCATCTCAGAATGAGAGTCTATTTACGTCTCATAAATAAAATACCTTCATTTTTTCTAGTGTGTACAACAAACAAAAGCTCTATTTTATTTTTCATAATAGACCCAGACATGATTCTGTCTCAACTTGTGCTACTGAAAGGATTTCTGGCACAAGCGTAGCTTAAGATTCAACTTAAATAGTTTGGGCCTTACTAAGAACTTGTGCTCTTTGAAATGCACTAAGAATGAAAAGAGAAGCCACAGACAGGGAGAAAATATTTGCAAATCACACAGCCAATGCTGGACCAGTATCCAGAATAGGGAAAGCACTCTCAAAATTCAAAATTAAGAGGATAAATAACCCAACAAAAAATGGTAAAGGGATTTGAGCAGACACTTTGCCGAAGAAGACATATGAGAGACAGAAGAACACAAAGGACAGCCAGCACCATCAGTCATTAGGAAAGCGCAAACGCAAACCCCCATAAGACGCCTGGACACACCTGCGAGAGTGGCTGCAATAAAACAACCACAGAGAAGCTGATGACAGTGAATGCTGACAAGGATGTGGAGGGGCCAGGACCGCCACACACATGCGCTGGGGGCAGTCACAGCGGGCAGTGTGCCGGAGAAGAGGGTGGACACACACTCCCCCACACACGCGCGGGGGGCAGTCACAGCGGGCAGTGCGCCGGAGAAGAGGGTGGACACACACTCCCCCACACACGCGCTGGGGACAGTCACAGCGGGCAGTGCGCCGGAGAAGAGGGTGGACACACACTCCCCCACACACGCGCTGGGGACAGTCACAGCAGGCAGCGCGCCGGAGAAGAGGGTGGACACACACTCCCCCACACACGCGCGGGGGCCAGTCACAGCGGGCAGCGTGCTGGAGAAGAGGGTGGACACACACTCCCCCACACACGCGCGGGGGCCAGTCACAGCGGGCAGTGCACCGGAGAAGAGGGTGGACACACACTCCCCCACACACGTGCTGGGGGCAGTCACAGCAGGCAGCGCGCCGGAGAAGAGGGTGGACACACACTCCCCCACACACGCGCTGGGGGCAGTCACAGCGGGCAGTGCACTGGAGAAGAGGGTGGACACACACTCCCCCACACACGCGCTGGGGGCAGTCACAGCGGGCAGCACGCTGGAGAAGAGGGTGGACACACACTCCCCCACACACGCGCTGGGGGCAGTCACAGCGGGCAGTGCACTGGAGAAGAGGGTGGACACACACTCCCCCACACACGCGCTGGGGGCAGTCACAGCGGGCAGCGTGCTGGAGAAGAGGGTGGACACACACTCCCCCACACACGCACTGGGGGCAGTCACAGCGGGCAGTGCACTGGAGAAGAGGGTGGACACACACTCGGCGGAGGCCCCGGTGACACCAGCCTCAGTCACCTCCCGCAGGGTGAGGACGCTCACACCCCCTCCAAGACCCACACGGGACTGCCCACAGTGGCTTGGTTCATCGTCACCCTGAACTGGAAACAGTGACATGTTTTCCTATCAGGAGAATGGAGGAGTTAACACGGCTCCTCCCTGGGATGAAACACGACCCAGCCATGCCCAGGAAGGAGCTGCCGACAGTGAAACTCAAGACACGTCCTGCTCGGTGACAGGCACGGGCTCAGGCGACTGAGGACGGCTCCGTTTATGTGTCCTTCTCAAAATGGCAAAGTTACAGGGTCGGGAGGTGAAGCCATGGTCTGTAGAGGCTGGGGTGGGAACAGGAATGGGCCACAGAGGGTGCGAGAGGGTTCCAGGTGGTGGACCTATTTTACATTTGATGGTGCTTTTCAGCCATGTGTGCTTGTCAAAACCCAGCACCGTGCACCAAAGGACTGAATTTTCCTGTGTGTTAACGATACCTCAGTGAAACCTCAGCCAAGGTGAAGGAAGCAGCCAGGGCTTCTCTTAGTTGGAAAACATCGAAGGAGTGCTTGCAGCTGCCTGCCCCTCCGAGGCACCAGGGGGTCGGGGACGTCACTGTGTCCTTGGGGACCGTGACGACCGCAGTGCCGACACAGTGAGCCCCAGAATCGCCCTGTAGACCAGCTCACTCAAGCAAAGCTGCCTCTGGCAGGGCAATTCCCCTGTAGAGAGTGTGCCTTTTGACTTTACCTGTCCTCAGACTGACCTTTGCTCATGAGAATAGTGAAAAACGCAACTTGGGTGGAGGTTTAAGATGCTAATGAGGCACGTGATGTATGGACAAGCATGGACAGCTACTGCATGTGCACCCAGAGGGCCACCCAGAATGTGCGTACCAGCAACACCTCTCCCACCCCCGCCCGAAGAGTGGTGTGGGGCCCCCAGAGCTAGAGCCTCCCTCGGGCGGTCCTGGCTGACTCACTCTCCATCAGCCGCGCTGACTCGTCTTTCAGAGTGTACTTTTGCTTTTGCATTTAGTTTGCAGAGGGTTCTTTCTCTGTTGCAATAAACTGCTTTCTACTTCTGTGTGTCTCTTTAAATTCTTAACTGCTTTCTACTGCTGTGTGTCTCTTTAAATTCTTTTAAACTAAGAAGACAAGAACCGAAGGCTCTCAGTTGCCATCAACAATGGGAGCAGCTAAACACGACCCAGGCAAGACCTCCCGTCCATCGGGTTAAACCCGTAGTCCACTGCTGACTCCACAACTCTGCCCTTGTTCTTACACCAAAGCTCCCTGCAGAGAGCCCATGGGTGACATGAAGCTGGCCTCGGACACCACATCTTCTGGCTTCCCTGGCCTCTGGCCCTGTTGTTTCCTGGACCTTGGCCACGGCTGAAGTTCAGGCTCCTCGTGATAACAGGCTGCTGATGGCTTCTGATGAATGAAAACCCGGGCAAAGACGGTGCTTCTCCTCCCTCCTGGCCCCTTGCATGTTAGGGAAATTTGAGTAGCACAAAGAGAGATGGTCTCCCTGAGGGTCTTCACAAGGCCCCATCCAAGTATCTCCAGGATGTGGGCAGCTCTCTGAGCACACGGAGGTCCTTGCGACGGCCGCACACATGGTGGGGGATGAAAAACGTTTCTTTCTCTGGGAATCCTGGGGTGGGAACCTCACCTAGTGGCTAGGCGGACACACAGCACAGGGTGGATTCAGGCCCGCCTCACCCTATGAGAGAGGAGGGGCCCCTCTCAGGAACACTGGAGGTGGTTGATTGCGACCAAAGGCTCTGCCGTGGGGACTAATTCCCACCCTTGGAATTCAGTAGACTTTTCTGTTGTTGGATCCCCAGAAAGCCCCAAATCAAGTTTGAATTTCTCTATGGAAGACTGTGGCACCTGGAACCACAGAGCACGTTCCCCGTGACATGGGATGTGACACTGCTTATCAGAAGCCGCCTGGGTCTTCGGGACAGAGTCTACTTTAATGTAAACTGGAACCCAGGGAAGGTAAACTGAGACACAGCCCTGCGTGTTGACTTCAGGGTGGTTGGAGAGTTCTATGGAGAGGAAGGAACGTGGTGAGTGGTGGAGACAGGATTCAGGGCGCCATTCTGAAGGACCGGCCTTCAGCAGGGGACTCCGTATTCTGGTTTCCGGTCTATTTACAGCATCTCTCTCTCTCTCTCTCGCTTTCTCTCCCCTTTCCTGCCACACTTTGATCCATTCTCGTAAAGCAGGAGAGAGACTCCTTGGTTTATAGCCACTGTCTAAACATTGCGATGCTTTCTATGTGAGCATGGCAGTCACTCTGTTTCTATCTTTAATACTGTAACTGCTCATCGGTTTAGCTCTTCTCTACCAATTGGAGAAATGCACAAGATTCAGGGAGATCATTTGTGAGAAAAGGCATCGCTGTTCTTCAAGCCCCCATCTTCAAAGCAAACATCTCTCTGGCAGAACCCAAGAAAAATTCCAGTTGGGTTTTCAAGAGCTAATTAAGCCACTGCACGGCTTCATGCGAAACCCTTCTCCCTCCCCATCTCCTTCTCAGTTTCTTCAAGATTAGGCTGAGGTTGGAAAGCAAACCCGAAAGCATCTCCAACCGCGTTATTTCTGGGCTGTGTTGATGCATGAAGCCACATCTGGCTCAGGATGGAGACTCAGGGTCTGGGCAAGTTGACAAATCCAAAGGCACCTGCTGTCGAGCGAGGACTGAAGCCACCGCTGACACTGTGCCCAGCAAAACCAGCACACACGGACTATTAACTGGTCGACTTTGCTCCTGGGGGCGTGGAAGGCAGAATCAAAGTGAATAATGTAAGCATTCCCCAGGCAGGGCCGGCACACCCTGCTCTGGGAAAATAAAAATAAATGTTGATGCTGGTGGATTGTAAAATCCCCTACCACTTCCGTTATTCCATCCTGTGCTTTTGAGTCGAACACATTAAGCTCACCAGGGGAGACTGGCTCTGACATAGCGCTGTGTCCCTCTTCCTGAAACGAAAGCCGTCTGTCTGACGAGGACATTGAGGACCCGTAATTTACTACCTCTGCTACAATTCTAAATGCTCCCCCACCGCAGGGATTGAAACGTTCTTCCTATAATTATAGTGGAATCAAAAGTCTAGCCGGCTAATGCGTGGAGCTTCTGTGCCAGCTATTTATAATAGGGGCTTCTCAGCCAATATGTTGTTTTTAATATGTCATCTATATGACATTGTCAGGATCAACCTGTCCTTATTTTCTGTGTTTCTCCCCTAAAATAATATTATTACTTAAACATATAAATATTTGTGAGACTAAAAAGAAAAAGAAAAATACCTGAAAATGTAAAACCCAGCCAAGCCCGGTTGCCTCTTGGTTGGCCATGGAAGGATTCTTTGGGAGGGAGGCCCAGGGTGGGGTGTTGCTGGCTGCCTGAGGCCAAGGGGGCTCTCTGGGAAAGCAGTCTCCACACTCTGGGCCTGTTAGTCCGGGTCCCTGATGAGAATGGCCTTCTCTCTTTGGGAAACACTCCTGCTCCCTGGTAGTGTGGCGTCAACGGGGAGATGCTACCTAGTGTGGCCCAAGATGCGCTTTTGTCCAACTCATCCCACTCACAGATCCGGCTGTGGTGCAGCTTCGTGGCTATCTCACAGGTCACAGTGTTATTCTGGCATCGGAATCCCCCAGCGCTGCTATCCAAATTCTCTCCAACAGAGAAGGCGGCAGGCAGTGGCTGGTGCTGGAGAAGCCTCTAGGTCTGCCAAAGTCTGGTTTTGGCAGTCGGGGCTGGGGGCTCCCCCAGCAAGCAGCAGCGCTGTCCAACCCATTCTGGTCCAAGGACAAGTGGTGCCTTCCTTCTTCTGACTCAGACCCCCGGCTACCTTTCCCTTTCGCCTGCGGAAGCGACGGGGCGTGCATGGCAAAGCTGCCACGGAACAGGTGTGGAGGTGATGGTGAGTGGCAAACCTCCGTGCCCAAGTGGGACACAGCTTGTACTTTCTTGAATTGTTGAATTTGAAAGCTTGAAGAAGCCTGCAGGATCCACACCAACACTTTTGTTATTTTGCACATGAGAACACTGCAGCTTAGAACGTCGGGGTGTCTTGCCCAAGTGGCCCCGCTGGGCTGATGGGGTCCCCTGATTGCTACCACGTGTTCTTTCCAACACAGCAACGCTTTCTCGCTACCCAGTCTGTTCAGATTGCCCTCTAGGAATTGGAAACGGCCCCCAGATGCATCCATTTCTTCTCTTTCTGCATAAAGTGCTGATCACAGACACTGAAAGAGTCGTTTCTATTAGAGATGGGAACGTTGGACTGGGTTTAATGTGGATGTTTCTACAGCAGAACTAACAGAGCAGCACCTCCCCAGTGCCCCCTGCAAAGCACCGCGGTCTGCGCACGGCTCCGGGAGGTCACGGCCTTCCCTTTATTGGCAAACACAAAGCTGGCAGATGATACTTAGGAGTCACATCTCTAAGTCCACCGTCTTTATTCTCTTCCCTATTTGGATTTCTTTTTCAGTATTCTGATCTTAGAATTTGTACTGAAAAAGTGAAAAAAAATTGAAAACCGTTGGATTCTCCAGATTTCACTGGAGCTGATGATAATTATCACATTCTTAATACCAAACTTTTACACTTTTACACAAGTTCTTGAGAAGTCCCAAATTATGAAAACCTCTAGAATAGATTGGTGGGAGAATAATTGTCTCAACCATCCAGAAATCAGTTTATTGAATTGGTTGATTTGATGTTAGTTGTCGTAATTGATGACTGGTGCCTTCTGAGGAGAGAACAAAAAAGAAAACAGTGCTTTATCCTCAAGGCACCTGTGGGCTAAGAGGAGCCAGTAACACCTGGAGCTGTGATACTAGAAAAAGGTAACATGAGAGGAATCTGTAAAGTGCTATGAAAATCCACAAAAGGATGACAACTGCTAGAGAGATGGTAAAAGGGCTCCATGGCAGGTGCATTGCACAGGGGAAGTGGATTTCAAAATCATAGAATGAATCCAACCAGATGGAAAAAACAATCAGGTCTTGGAGACAAGAATAAACAGGGCTCTCCTAGGGAATGATGGGAGTTCAGTTTGGATGAAGCAAAGTGTCATTCCAGGGGGCATGAGGCCGGCGTGCCTGGGAGCCCGGGTAGGCTGGACTTTGTCAAGGGAACAACAGAGAACTGGAGACTCCCGGCCCTGGAGCGACCTTCCAAGGTCATCCAGCCTGACCCTCTCCCAGGGTCATCTGACCTGACCCTCTCCCAGCTGCGTCCATCCCGTCTCACACCTTCCTAGCCATGGTCCTGGGCAAATGATTCCCCTAGCCACTTACACACCCATTTCTGCTCAGCTGTAGCAAAATCAGTCAGATTAAAAAATAAGTTTTCAATACAAGTGCCTTCGAGGTCATGATGTGCTTATGTACTTTATCAAAATGTGTATCACCTACTCCTAGTCCAACTGCAGTACACACGTCTTTCCATATCCACGCACAGCATATCCTTCGCTAAGATGCTGCTGATGCAAATACACATCACTCTGCACTGTAGGCCCTGTGGGGCTAACAATGGCATCCCACGAAATCGCTGAAAATGTCAAATTAACAGAACTTTATACTTAGCAAAATGAAAATTGGCAACTCAAAACCATGACTAACTCAAAATAACAAGGGCTCTTCCCCTGACTGCAGGAATTCTGGGAGCCCTTTCACAGCCAGAACTTACTGTAAATGCATAATTTCAGTCTTTATTAACTCAAGAACACCAATTTTTAGCAAATTTTATGACTCATGTAGTGTAACGTGTAAATGATCATTAGATGTAAAAATAGATAAAAATCTATGGCATCAATTTCCTGTAAGAACCAGAGAAAAGAGAACCTATAAAAACACCTCCTGGCCAGGGGCGGTGGCTCACGCCTATAATCCCAGCACTTTGGGAGGCTAATCCCAGCACTTTGGGAGGCTGAGGCGGGTGGATCACAAAGTCAGGAGATCGAGACCATCCTGGCTAACACGGTGAAACCCCGTCTCTACTAAAAATACAAAAATTAGCCGGGCATGGTGGCAGGTGCCTGTAGTCTCAGCTATTCGGGAGGCTGAGGCAGGAGAATGGCGTGAACCCGGGAGGCGGAGCTTGCAGTGAGCCAAGATGGCGCCACTGCACTCCAGCCTGGGCAACAGAGTGAGACTCCGTCTAAAAAAAACAAAAACAAACCCAAAAAACACCTCCCATTTCTTAACAGCCTGGCAACCTACTGGAATGATCCCACAGGGGTGGTTTTTTCAACCTCAAAAGAATGGAAACTCACGATTCCACAAAGGATTTCATTCCGCAGAACACTCCAGAGAGGTTTTCTTCTGTTAGTACCAGCATTCTCCTTGTAAAACCTTCCCACCGTTCTCCTTCTGAAGCTCCACAGAGCAAGTAGAACTCTGTCTCCGTGTGTCCACTATGGGACGGCAGCTAATTGCCCTTCTTCAGTTTTATTTGGTGGGGGGCCGGGAGTAAAACTAAGAGCAGACCTTTGTACAATTTTTTTTTTTTTGAGATGGAGTTTCGCTCTTGTTGCCCAGGCTGGAGTGCAATGGCGAGGTCTCGGCTTACCGCAACCTCTGCCTCCCAGGTTCAAGCGCTTCTCCTGCCTCAGCCTTGTGGGTGGCTGGGATTACAGGCATACGCCACCATGCCTGGCTAATTTTTTTGTATTTTTAGTAAAGACAGTGTTTCTCCATGTTGGTCAGGCTGGTCTTGAACTCCTGACCTCAGGTGATCCTCCCGCCTTGGCCTCCCAAAGTGCTGGGATTATAGGCATGAGCCACCATGCCTGGCCTGTATAATTTCTTGTTAAACTTTATGTTGCTTAGTTGCTTATATTATTGTAATTTGGTGAAATACTTTTGCATCCTAATTCTGATATTTGCTACTTTATGTGTGCTTCCCAGGTCCCTGTGCCTTCACGAATTTATGGCCGTGTACACATGTTAGACATTGAATAACACAGGACCAAGGAGAGAACCTTGTCTCACCCTCCACATCCCCCTTCCTATGAACAGCGGTCTCTGGGTACCGTCATTTGACCAAAAAAGTACTTTAATTTTTGGTTGTGGTCATTTAACTACTTACACATCAAGTTTATTTATGCTATAATTCAATCCACACTATACCATCTTGCCCTCAGAGGAGACCCTAAAGTCTAAGAGTTCAACAAGCACATTGAGCCTCTACTGAGTGCCAGTGAGACGGCTGAGATGAGAGGGACGTGGCACCCACACGAGAAGGGCTTGTCTTGCTGCTTCTTTACAGCAAACTCATGTTGATGCTAAGCACAATGGCCGTGTGTAGGGTCTCAGGAGGAGGTGCTATGGCTGTGGCATCACCCAGGGAATACTTTTCTCCAGCTGACCATGCATGAGGGGCAAGGGTGGCCACAGGAGGAACTGCCCAAGCAGAGACCAAGGGCCATGCGGCTCAGGGGTCAGCCAGGTGTGACGAGCTCTGTGCCATAGGGGCGAGGGCCACGCGGCTCAGGGGTCAGCCAGGTGTGAGGAGGTCTGGGCCATAGGGGCGAGTGCCATGCGGCTCGGGGTTCAGCCAGGTGTGACGAGCTCTGGACCGTGGGGGTGTACCCAAGTGGACACCGGGCCAGGAGAGTCTTCCTCACCATGCTGGGGACTTGGAGGTATGCTGGGAGAAGGACCAGTTAGAGGAGAGAAATGTCATGCCTTCAAGAAAGATGGTGGCCATGGCCCAGCAGCCTCCTGGTCTCACAATCTAGAAACATCTGAAAAGGAAATCGGTCCGGCACAACCTCTTGATCGCTCTGTGCAATCACTTTTTGCCTGTGTTAAGTATTAATAAGTGATTTATTGAGTAATTTTAGCGATGGGAGGGCCCTGCCTGGGGATCTGCAGGGTGGGGGCAGGGCCACGCTCCTCACACTGACTTGAGGAGGCATGAACAGGGCAGGAGAGGGCTCCCACACACAGCAGGAGTGTCGGGTGCCATCAGGTGGCTGTCAGGCAGCCGTCACACTGTCTCTCTACGGTAATAGTTGGTCACAGCCGGCACCAGGAAAAAGCATCTCCCAATAGATAGAAATGCTTGGGACTGGTGATCAGCAGCTTCCCGATAGGATCTCAGGAACTGGGCTAGTGGGCTCAGGCGTGCACATGTGGACAGCCCACTCCAAGCGAAGAATCATGGGGGAAGGAACGTGGGGCCCTGGAAGCATGACAATGGATAAAACCCCAAGTCACAGGTCAAACCACGCACCCGTCCTTTGGAAGAGGCTTGGGCCTCTTCCAAATATACTTTCCTTCCCCTCATTTCTGCTCTGAAGATTTTAAATAAACTCTCACTCCTGCTCTAAAACTTGCCTCGGTCTCTTCTTCTGCCTTATGCCCCTCAGGCGAATTCTTTCTTCTGAGGAGGCAAGAATTGAGGTTGCCTGCCACAGACCCTAATGGATACAAATTTGCTGCTGGGATGATTGGATATATTTTGTTGTTGTTGTTGTTGTTTTGTTTTGTTTTTTTTTCCTGACAGGGCCTCACTCTGTTGCTCGGGCTGGAGTGCAGTGGTGTGATGTCTCACTGAAACCTTCACTTCCCGGGCTCAAGGGATTCTCCTGCCTCAGCCTCCTGAGAAGCTGGGACTACAGACGTGCCACCACCCTTGGCTAATTGTTTTGGTATTTTTTGTAGAGATGGGGGTCTCACCATGTTACCTAGGCTGCTCTTGAATTCCTGGGCTCAAGCTATCCACCTGCCTTGGCCTCCCAAAGTGTTGGGATTACAGGCATGAGCTACTGCACCTGGCCTCGGATCTGCATTTTAAAGAGTCACTCTGTCCCCAGAGCCACAGCTGTCTATAGAGGTCTATAGACATTAGGGAAATTTATTGGACTCATGGACTGGAAATCTGGGATAAGGAGAGAAGGGTTTTTGGGCAATTTGGGTGGCTTCTGGGGTGTTCACCAGGATGGAAAGTGTAAGAAGAGAACAAACCTTTGTGGTGGGGACAGGTGTCAAGTTCCACCCTAGAGCTGAAGCGTGGCCGATTACGGAGGAGCCCTTGGCAGGGGACCGGGTAGTTTCTAGTGCAGGAGATGTGCCTTTCCTTGCTGAGCCCCCGGATCACGGGGGAGCCCTTGACAGGGGGCTGGGTAGTTTCTAGTGCAGGAGACATGCCTTTCCTTGCTGAGCCCCCATCCCACTGAGCACCTGCTCTTCGGTTGCTGGCATCCTCTCCACTTTGTGTGAATGTCTCAGGCTTGATTCCTGCATGGCCTTCGCGTGTATCTCACAGTACACGTCACATCTGTAAATTAAAAGGCATCTTCTCCATGGACACCCTGCTCCTTCCTCCTGAGCTCCCAGCATCCTTGTGTAAATTCCAGGGAAATCGAGGGTAAAACTCGTTCCCGGCCCTCTGGGACGGCATGGCCCTGGGGAGGGTGAGAGGACACCAGCTGCAGTTTGGGGATGAGCTTCCATGATGGAAATGTCTGGGACACACGGAGCTCAGAGCAGGGGCAGCCCGGTCTACATTGGGGGTCAGTGGGTCTTCAGAAAGACTGATGGACACACAGGCCTCTTCTGCGGGCTAGGAGGAGGGGGATGCATCCCAGGAGGCTGGTGGCACCCAAGCAGGACTGTGAACTGAGTGACACAGCCGGAGCGGACGGGCAAGGCGATGCTGTGTCCACACACGCAAACATGACCCAGGCCACCTCCGTGTCCCAAGCACCTGGGAGAGGCTCTCAGCCTCCATTTGCTGAGTGAGACTGTCCGCCCACCAGGAGGCAGACCCAGTTCACCTGCACCCAGGATACAGGGGAGAGAATGCGTGGGAATGGATGAGCCCCAGGCAGCGGGTGGGTCGACTGGGTGGGGCATCCAAGCCTTGGGGAGATGAGATTTACGTGTGCAAAGTCGGGATGGAAACGCCTGTGTAAGAGTGCTGAGCAGGACTCCGGGAGGAGGCGGCTTCAGAAAGGCAAGGATGCTCGCAGGACTGCGTGTCACGGGGGGTCACGCACCACACGGCTGGACCGAGCCCGGGGCCTCAGTGACCGAGGCGGCGGCTGCCGGTCGTCCTGGAGGGAGAGCTGCCTGTGAATCTATTGCACAGTGGGTGGGACCCTGGTCTAATGGTGCCACGCCCACGGGGACCCCCACGGGCCGCTGCTACAGAGCAGCGGGTGCCAGCAGGTCAGGCGCTCAGGAAGAGGTGAAGAGAAATCAACGCGGCGTCGTCAAGCTCAGTCAGCAGGAGGACCCCCGGGGAGGGTCCGGCACTCAGGAGCCCCCCCGGGGCAGGAGGGGCCTCTTCCTCCCAGACTGAAGCCAGAGGCAGGTCTCCCGCTGCTGCTCTAGGGGCTTAGGTGGTTTTGAATAACTACTGTGGAGAAAGGAAACTTGACCGCAGGCTGGGTTTGACAGTGTATCTGCGCACCTTTTCCCCTTGGGCTTCCTGGTTGGTTTAGTGATGAGTCTGTTTCAGGTGCTGTGACGGGAAGGCAGGGGCCTTCACTCTCTTGCTTTCTGTCCCTGAGCAGCACATTACCCATCCCGGGCCCCAGCGGCCTCCTCTGTGGGGAGGGGACAGCAGGGGAGGGGCCTGGAGTCTCCAGAGTCGTGCTGTGCGGACAGGGAAATCCTTGAAATACCCTCAGGATTGCCCCAGATGAATTTGAAAATTGGAAGAGAAGGAGACACACGTCAGGAAGACAAACAAAAGATGTGACACCTTGTTTTTTCACCTGGCACATTCTGGCATATTTTTTAAAGTTCAGCCATTTGAGCCAGACCTTATTATGAGAATTCTATGAACGCTTGATGTGTGATGGATATTTTGCATAAATTTGGATGGAACTGAAGTTTGAAGAGAGATAGGGCTGCCCAATGGAAAGAAAATGTGGAAATCAATTACCCTTTGCATGGAGCCTTATCTCAGGATGCAAAGGCCACCGGCAATGAGGAGGGAAATGCCCCCACAACTGGAGGTAATTGTGTGAATTTTCTAGGCCACAGAGGATGGTTTCTTCACTACAAAACACGAACATTTTTGTTTCACCGAGTCTAGATGGCAGTCTTTTGTCTTGGAGACAGTTAAGTGTTACTGTGAGAAAATTCTCAGCTGCTTTGAAAACAGTGAAAACTCTTTGCATTTTTAACAAAAGAAATGCATTTTGAAGGTGGGAAATTGTCACTAGTGATTAAAGAGAAAGCTCTGCAGAAGTAAAACATCCTTTGAAGGGGTGAGAGAAGGAGAAGGAGAGAAAAAAGGAAGAGAGAGAGACAGAAAAAGAGAGTGGGAGGGAGAGAGAGGCAGAGAGAGAAAGGGAGAGATGAGGGCTGCAGGAAGGAGCCTGGAGTGGAGCCAGGGGGGCCTGCCTCAGGTGGGGGCCAGTGTGGAGGTCGAGGTCCAGCCCAGGGTGCCCAACTGCAGGTCTCTGGCAAGGGCCCTTGGCAGGGAGAAGCCCCAGGCCCTGCAGGGCAGAGCTGGGCTGAGTGGGAAGAAGGCCACACCTGGGGCTCAGGTGGTTGCTTTCAGTGTCCTGCGTGGTGACTGTGCTCGTAAAAGTCCAGTTCTTGGGGGATAAATTCCAGGCTCCTGAAGACGCCTGGGCTGCCTGATTGACAGCCCAGAAGCTGAGGCCTGAACGCATCTGCCAGGTGGTTATTGCTCTGCTTCCATGGAAACGCACACAGGACGGGGGAGCTGAGGTGAGGTTTTAAAGACAGCCTTCTTTTTATAACTTCCCTACCTTATCCTCTTCCATCTGACCGCCGTTTCCATGGCAACCAGATCAGAAAGGCCATCGGCCTCACGAACTCTGATTTGCACGGTGGATTTGCCAAGTGCCAGGCACCGCCATGCATCCAGGGAGGCAGAGGCGTCCCCGTGCATCCAAGTCACCCGAGGCCAGCTGGATGGAAAGGGCCAGGAGGTTGCAGGTGCCACGGCCCTCTGGGGTGTGGAGGGAACTCTAATTTCTGAACCCAGCCTGGGTGCCACAAGTGAGGGTGGCCGCATGATATTCACATGCTCGGGAACACTCCTGGCCCACAGGGACTTCCTTTCTTAACAATCAGAGACACAAGTGCTGGGCTGCCCACGGGTTCCGGATGCTGACCTTGTGGCAAATCATGATGACTCTCCCCAGATCCCCACCTGGCCTACGATCCAACCCCTAGAGCACCTTCACAGCCACGCAAGGGCACCCTCCCACTGCGCAGCACTGCCTCTCACTCATGGCTGTGAAACTTGGGTTGCCCGATCCTGCAAACGCTGGCTTTCTCCTCTGACCCATGGCTAACACCACTTCCTTACAGGAGAAGTGACTGCACTGATCAGAAGTGTGGAGTCCTGATAAGATTAGTAAGTAACGTTGAGGAAGGCGCTACAGGTCGGGGAGAACAGTTGTTCTGAGAGACGGCCAATCACAGGCAACTGCTGGCATGACATGCTGTTCCCAAATACCTCACTCCACAAGTAGCCCCAGCAGCATGACCTTATCTGCCCATGGCCCCCTCCAGCATGACCCTATACAGCTTCCTTCCAGCCCTGCTTCTTTGCAGACGGCCCCTTTTCTGCTGTGCTGCCCATTGCTTTCTTGCAACGTATCTTCGTGCTTTCTCTAATAAATCTGCCTTCTTTACCCACGACTGTCTTGGTAAATTCTTTTACCACCCGTGACACCAGCCCCAGCCATTGCACCCACAACAACACGGTGATGTGCCAGAAGCAATGAAAAGCCATCCATACATAGATAAAAATATGGGGACCAACATGAAGCGTCAGCCTGTGCGCCTCTTTCCAGACGATAGGCGGGGTGCTTAATTTTCAGAGAATGCCTTCGTGACTATTTCCCTTAGACATAAATAGAGACCACAGCCACGTGTTATTTCATGCTATGTTTAAATCTAACTTGGGACTTCTGTGGGCCACACATGTCTTTAACAATCCTGTGGCGGGCAGGTGCCTCCCCAGAACGCTTCTCACAGGTGCACTGGGAGGTTCCCTCCTGCCCTGACATGCATCCCAGGGAAGAGCCCCTCTGCTGGAGGACTAAGAGGGTCCATGTGGGATCCTGTGATGCCCAGGTAAACTGTCCCACTGTGTGCCTGTGCTTGGGTTCTCTCCCTGTGAAAAACCCGACTGCAGCAAACCTCCCCGAGCCTTTACTGAGCTGTGAGTGAGGATCTGGGCCTGCAAAGCCAAAGGAGACGCCAGTGCTGCCCTAACAGGCAGAGACTCCAGTCATGGGAGCTCTGCTGGGCCTTTCTAGTCCTAGAACAGTGTGCAGTGTCTTAGGAAGTACATAGCATTCAGGCGTGATGTTATTCTCTTTCATGTCTCAGTAAAACTCTGAGCTGCACAGATGTGATGGAAGCCCTGGGAACAGCGTCACGGACATCAGAGGGGGTGGGTCTTCTGTGTCTCAACCTGGCGTTGGCACACGGCATGGAGGTTTCCATGGCTGGATATAAGTAGAGTCATGAGAATGCCTCTGTCATCTGCTCTACACTTCCTTAGTATCTCCGTTTAAGTAACTTAGTACCCTGGGTCCAACTCTTAAATTTGTTGGGGAAAATGTCCTAAATCTAGACACAGACATTGTTGTTTGAAAGAGTTCAGCTTCTCAAAATGATGATGAGCACCGTCACTAACTGCTGACCATCAGGAGAATGTCAAAATAAGGACCCTCAGACGGGAGAGCACCAAAACAAGGACCCTCAGATGGGAGTGCGCCAAAACAAGGACCCTCGGACGGGAGAGCACCAAAACAAGGACCCTCGGACGGGAGAGCACCAAAACAAGGACCCTCGGACGGGAGAGCGCCAAAACAAGGACCCTCGGACGGGAGAGCGCCAAAACAAGGACCCTCGGATGGGAGAGCGCCAAAATAAGGACCCTTGGACGGGAGAGCACCAAAATAAGGACCTTCGGACGGGAGAGCACCAAAATAAGGACCCTCCGACAGGAGTGCCAAAATAAGGACCCTCAGATGGGAGAGTGCCAAAATGGGAACCCTCAGGTGGGAGAGAACCAAGATGGGGACCCTTGGAGGAGGAGGGGCCTGCAAACAGATGGGTCTTCACCAACGAATCCAATAGCTGGTAGCACCCTCCCAAAAGGTAAGCCAGCAGTCTATGGCATAACAGCCAAGAGGGGAGTGGGGCTGCAGCTGTCTTGGGCAGGGGCAGCATAGGTTGTGTATGTGTGGCCGCATCTCAGCCTCTCAGCTACAGGGTGACCTCTCTGGGTCAACCAGGATCCCAGTTAGTAGCTGCAGTACAGAGTCCAATTCTTAAGGCAGGAGTTAGGCTGAAGGCTGGGACTCCATTCAGAGGGACTGTTTGGAGTGAGGACCGGGGGTACAGACCAGAACCCAGGCAAGGCAGCAGCCACGTGGAGCAGGAAGAAGCCCTGATGTGTGACAGGTTTGCTGGGGCCCAGGCAGTAGCAGATCACCCATGACACGTGAATGACAAGTTAGGGATAGCAGATTCCTTTCAGACCCTCGGCCTCACACGGCGGGTTTGTGTGGCTTCAGGGCCCGGACAGCAGAGGCTGGGAGATGGAGTTTTGGTAGAGCAGCTTGGAGTAGAGTAGGTAGGATCTCACAGCCTAGCTTTTGATTGAAAACCTGTTTCTGAGAGGAACCCAGGACAGCCTGCTGAGGAAAGCAGGAAATCCAGAGTCGGGTTCTGCCTCCTAAACCATGGGTGGCATTTGGGCGTATGGAGGGCAGAGCCCTATAGGGAGGGGAGAGGCTGAAGAGGGGTGGCGGCTCCAACATGTAACTGGTTTCCACCAATAACACCAGGCCGGAGGTCAATTTACTTAGTTATTTGAGGGATTCATTTTACTATTGATTTATGTTGATCAAAGCTGAGAACAATGATTTACAGGGAAGTGTATTTGAAGGACACACACTTCATTCATTTGTCAAGAGAAGGTTTAGCTTCTCTCAATATCAAGACAAAACATCGAAGGACTCCGTGCTTAAGCCAGGTTCTTTGGGGCCCTCCATAGACGTGCTTTACTCCATAGACGTGCTTTACTCCATTGCATTTTGGATTATGCACCCAAATGACACACAGAAGAGATGGAAGGAGCTGTCTTTAAAAACTCAACAAACTGGAAATAGAAATAAATGCTCTCAATATGATAAAAACCATATACAAAACAAAAAAAAACCTACAGCGAAAATTGTACTCAATGGTAAAAGACAGAAAGCTTTTCCTCTAGAACAGGACAAAGAGAAAGATACTTTACCACTTTTATTTAATACAGTATTGGAAATTTTGGCCAGAGCAATTAGGCAAGATGAAAGAAGTAAAAGGCATCCTACTTGGAAAAAAAGAATTAAAATTATCTGTTTGCAGGTGACCTGATATCATATGTAGAAAAACTAAAAGCATTGTTAGAACTAATAAATGAATTCAACAAAGTTGCAGAATATAAAATCAACACTTAAAATTAGTTGCATTTCTATGTACAAACAATGATCAATCTGAAAAGGAAATTAAGAAAAAGTTCTGGCCGGGCGTGGTGGCTCACGCCTGTAATCCCAGCACTTTGGGAGGCCAAGGCGGGCGGGTCACTAGGTCAGGAGATTGAGACCATCCTGGCTAACATGGTGAAACCCCATCTCTACTAAAAATACAAAAAATTAGCTGGCCGTGGTGGCTGGCACCTGTAGTCCCCGCTACTCAGGAGGCTGAGGTAGGAGAATGGTGTGAACCTGGGAGGCGGAGCTTGCAGTGAGCTGAGATTGTGCCCCTGCACTCCAACCTGGGTGAAAGAGTGAGTGAGACTCTGTTTCAAAAAAAAAAAAGTTCCATTTATGGTCTCATCTAAAAGAATAAAATACTTAGGGATAAACTTAACCAAGAAGGTAAAAGCCTTGGATACTGAAAACTACAAAACATTGTTGAAAGAAATAAAAGACATAAATAAATGGAAAGACATCTTATGATTGGAAGGCTTAATATTATTAAGTGGATAACACTACCCAGTGTAATCCACAGATTCAATGTAATCTCTATCAACATCCCAAGGACTTTTTTTCAGAAATAGAAAAACCCATCCTAAAATTCATGGAATCTCGAAGGGCCTTGAATGGTCAAAATAATCTTTAAGAAAAGGAGAACAAAGTTGGAGAATCCTGACTTCACTTCCTGACTTCAAAACGTACTACAAAGCTACAAATCAAAACAGAGTGGTGTTAGCATACCACACACAGACCAATGAAAGAGAACAGAGGGCTCAGAAATAAACCTTTGCATATGTAGTCAAATGAATTTTGACAAAGGTGCTGCAACTAGTCAATGCAGAAAGGATAGTCTTTTCAACAAGTGGTGCTGGGAAAACTGAATATTCACATGTAAAAAAGAGTGAAGTAACACCAGCTGCAAAAACAAACTCAAAATTGATCAAAGACCTAAATATATGACCTAAAACTATAGAACTCGTAGAAAAGCTCATCAGGGAAAAGCCTCATGACACTGGGTTTGGCACTGATTTCTTGGAATGACACCAAAAGCATAGGTGATGAAAGAAGAAGTAGATAAATTCTACTTCACATTTAAAAGCTTTTATTCCTCAAAGGACACCATCAAGGGAGTGAAATAGAAACCCACAGAGTGGGAGAAAATATTTGCAAATCATATATTTGATGAGAGATTAATATCCAGAATATACAAAGAAATATGGGCTGGGCACAGTGGCTCACGCATCATCCCAGCTGAAGTGTGCGGATCACGAGGTCAGGAGTTCAAGACCAGCCTGGCCAACATGGTGAAACCCCATCTCTACTAAAAATACAAAAATTAGCTGGGTATGGGGGCGGGTGCCTGTAATCCCAGCTACTCAGGAGGCTGAGGCAGGAGAATGGCTTGAACCCAGGAGGTGAAGTTTGCAGTGAGCTGAGATTGTGCCACTGCACTCCAGCCTGGACGACAGAGTGAGACTCCATCTCAAAAAAAAAAAAAAAGAGAATAGAAAAGAAATACAAGTCAACAACACTTAACCCATCCAACTTAAAAACTGGCAAAAGATTTGAAGAGAGATTTATCCAGAGAAAGTGTACACATGGCCACTAAACATATGAAAAGATGCTCAACATGACAAATTATTAGAGAAATAAAAATCAAAACCATGAGAGACCACTTCATACCCATGAGGATGGCTATTACTAAAACACACCACAGGAAATGTAATTATTGGTGAGAATGTGGAGAAACTGAAACTTGTAAATTGCCAGTGTGAATATAACGTGGTGCAGCCACTTGGGAAGAACAGTATGGCGGTTCCTTGGGAAAAGTAAGCATGATTCCTAACTTGCACTTGTGGGTATACGTCCCAGATAATTGAAAGTGGGGCTAGAATGGATATTCAATACCCATGTACACAATAGCGTTATTCACAACAGCCAAAAGGTAGAAACAACCCAAGTGTCCATCAGTGCACGAATGGATATCCATACAATGGACTGGAATTCTGGTTTGTGCATAATGGAGGCATTAGGCTAAGTGAGATGAGCCGGCCATGAAAGGACAAATCCTGTGTGATTCCACTTGCATGAGGGACTGAGAGTTGTCAAATTCGTAGAGACCAAAAGCAAAATAGAGGTTACCAGGAGGAGAAGTGGGAGTTCGTGTTTAATGGGGACAGAGTTTCAGTTTGGAAGATGAAATGGTTCTATGGGTGGATGGTGAGGTGTTGGCACAACACTGAGAAGGTGCTTAACATGATGGAACTGTACACTAAAAAGTGGTAAATTTTGTATTATGTGTATTTTACCACAAAAAAGATGAAACACCCACATACCCAGCAAAGCTGTCTCACGATATTCTTGTTGTCTGCATTGGAATGCAGTGAGGATGACAACCCTTGTCAGGACTGCTTATGTGGACACTCGTGCAGGACCCTTCTTCCATCTGTGTTCTAGGTTTCTCGGGGGCCATGGACAGACATTGTTCCCTATGAATAGCAAGTTCACAAAACTGTGAAGCTGTCAAAATTTTCTTTATACTTGGGCTGCAAGGAAGCCCCATGCTAAATTTGTAGCTCAACTTGTAAATTGCCCATGTATGTGTTCTAACTTTCCAGTGAAATTATGTTTTTATTTTTCCTGTTTCTGGACATGATTTTATTTCATTTCCTGTTTAGTTACACTAAAAGCATCCTAGTAACTGAGTTCAATGTTCCTGTACACTGTGTTGTGCTAATTATTATAACTAGAGCTTTGAACCTATGGTAAACATTTTTATTTCTCCTTGGTTTCCCTTTTTTTCTAAAAGTCCCGTAAGATTTAAATTGCAGATTCAAATGATGCTAAAAGTAAAAGCTGAGAATAATAGTACATTTCAAAATGGCATATTTCAACACGTTTCTGTTTCAAACAAAGTAGTTATTTTGTTAGTCATTTTTCTGAACACGTGAGCTCCAGGTCTTTTGGGATCTAGGAAACCCCGTTACTGAAACCACACTGTTCTAACGGTGTAAGAAGTCACAGAATCCTGAACGACAACTTTACAGTTCGATGGTAATTCCAAGACAATGGTACAGTCGTTTCGTCCTAGCTATGCAGATGTTCACGGAAAACAATACTTAGCTCCCTAGAGAGCGAATACTTTTCAAGAGCATTTTTTTTTCCTTGAGAAGAAACACAGCTCTCTGTGGAAAAGTCAGAAATCTCTTTGTCCTTTCTATCCCAGAGTATTATTTTTCTGGTCTTTCAGTGGTGCTCTTTACCTGATAATACCCAGAAAGTCAGTTTGATTATTATGTGATGCCAACAAAAGTGTTTGAAAATGACGAAGCAACTAATGATTTAGCATTTACAGGTTTAAAAAGACAGCACCTGCAGGAGAGACTGTAATACGACGTTGTTTAGTCAAGTTAGTGTTGAGCTTGCCATAACCATTTCAACTTTCAAAGTATTTACGAATCAACAGTGCTGGAATTATCCCTCCAGTTTCAAATATGACACGGAAGTAACTTAAATGAAAAATTCCTTTCTTATTCCGCCATGCGCCAGGGGATTTTTCTTCCCCTGAATGAAAGTGTCAGCATCTCATTTATTAACAATGCAGATACACATCAAAGCCACTATTGAATCTGTCTCTCCCCATTGACTTTGCCTTCCTATTTCTACACCCTATACTTCTTGTTCAACGAATTGTTCTTGATGTGACGTCTTCACAATAAGCCCATAAGCACAACTGAAACACAATTTCCTGCTAGCTTCAGTCAAGATACATTAATCCTCTCGATATTTCCCAGGACAATACTATCTCTCTTCTGCAGACTTTATTTCTCTCATTTGGCTGAGAAGGAGAAAAATCCTTGAAAATTGGTTTGAAAAGTGGTGTGCAAAAACAGTCAGAGCTAAAATTTCTTGGGCACACAATTTTCTTTAAATGCTCGCATGTTCATCATGCACCCTCACGTTAAACACTCGCGTGTGAGAAACTGAGAAGGAGAAGTTGCCGGACAGCTGAGCGTCCCTGTGCCGCTGCCACCCCAGGCTGCCGCCCACCGCTCAAGCTCAGAGCTAGAGCCCTGTCCACGCTGTCGTCCCTTCCTGTGGCTCCAAGTCTGTTCTGTCCAAGTCACTTCTCCATGAAAATGCTGGGTGGAACGTAAGGAATGGGAAGAAGCTTAAGCCATTCCTCTTATAGACCTGGGCAACCACATGGCGTTTATTCTCCAGAATATTCATTTGATGGGGACCTCTGGGAAATGCTATGGCAGCTACACTCATTGCCTTTCTGCATAGGTAGGTGTGCATGCATGTATGCAGGTGAGGAGGCACATGTGTAAGTGCGTGTGTCTGTGGGTGTGGAGGTGTGTATGTAGGCGTGCATATAGGTACATATACAGGGAGGGATGGATGTAGGTACAAATGCAGGTACCCATGTAGACATCCACCTATGTTGGCATGCAGGTGTGTATGTAGGCACCTATGTAGATATGTATGTAGGTACATATGTGGCTATGTAGGTGGATTTGTAGGTGCACTTGTAGGTAGGTGTGCAGGTATCTATGCAGGTAGGTATGGAAATGGGTACAGATGTAGGTATGCATGTAGGTATGTGTCTATGTCGGCATTCAGGTATGTATACAGGTACATATATAAGTATGTAGGTGGATTTGTAGGTGCGCTTGCAGGAAGGTACCTATGTAGGTATGTAGGTGGATTTCTATGTGCACTTATAGGTAGGTATGCATGTAGATACCTGTGTAGGTATGTAGGTGGATTAGTAGGTGCATTTGTAGGTAGCTATGCATGTAGATACCTATGTAGGTATGTAGGTGGATCTGTAGGTGTACTTGGAGGTAAGTGTGCAGGTAGGTATTTATGTAGGTATGTAGGTGGATTTGTAGGTGTACTTGGAGGTAGGTACCTATGTAGGTATGCAGGTAGATATGTAGGTGCACTTGTGAGCATGTGTGTACATATACAGATGTGTAGGTAGATTTGTAAGTGCACTAATAGATAGATCTCTACCTAAGAGGCATGGATATAGGTGCAGATGCAGGCAGACATGTAGACATGTACCTATGGCAGCATGTGGGGGGATATGTAGGCACCACGCAGCTCCGCACGCAGCCTGCATCAACAACTCTCACCCGCCAGTCTCTGGCCGCTGCCCACTTGCAGTGGGTGGGGGCAGAAGAGTCCACCAAGCGTCCCAGGTCTCGTCAGCATAGTTGATGACTCTCCTGGTCTGATCCACAAGGCTGAAACACTAACTTGTTCATTGCTGTCCTGTCACCTTGTCACAACACGTGCCCCGGTGGGATGGAATAATAACGCTCCGTCTATGGCGAAGGCTTAGGCTTTGCAGAATTGTTTGGGGTGAGAATGAGGCAGCCCTGATCCCCCATGTTCATTCCTCTGTCTCACCCACCTTGAGTGTTTGAAACCAGAAACGATTCTAATTCAGACTTGCAATGTGATTGTAATGGACAAAATATTGGCCTTGGCTTGGAGTGTTCAAGTTACGTCCAATGAGAAATAAAATATATGACTCTCCCTCTCTCTTCTAACTTCATCATTGGATTCCAGCAATTGAATGTTTGTGAAGGCTTGGCAGGGAATTAAAATCTATTTCAGCTGGCAGAAGCTCTGAGGTGCTGTATTTCTGGCCTATGTATGGTTGTATTGAAGGGAGAAGATGCACAGTTCCTAGAGGTGCCACATCGGCTACTCATTCATCTTTGAGTTTTGTGGTTGGGCCAATTATCTCAAGCTCTACTGTAAACCTCGTTAGAGGAAAAACACAATGAAAATGTGTGTGTGCATGTGTATGTGTGTGGACGCCTGTGTGTGTGTGTGTGTGTGTGTGTGTGTGTGTGTGTTGTTAAGCACATCTCAGAGATGCTTTCTAGATGGCATCTATTCCAGGTTTATCTGTTTGGGAGATGATAAATAGAATTCTTAATTATTGCATTATTCTCTCTAAATTCCAGATCATTAATATATTCTACAGAGGTAACTCTAGATGGATAATTAAGTAAATCATCTGGAGAGTCGAACAATATAGACACAAAGTCTGCACATTTCAGGTGGAGCTATTAAAAACACCAAGGTCTTTAGGGACTGGCTGTGTCTGGCCAGAGTTAATCAAGCTAGGTTTATAACAGATTTGCTTTGGCTGTATATTAAGCAGTTAGGGCTGCTTTCATACAAATATATTCTACTGTGTCTTCCTTGGACTGTGTTTTATTTTCTTATTTTTGACAGAAATATGGGTATACAGACCTCAAGAAAAAGCAGGGGTGCAAAAGAAACGACGGCCAGCCATCAGCATCAGCCTCAGAACTGAGGGTGACCAGGGTTGGTGGGGACTGACCAGAGACACCATGACTCATTGCTACCACATGGGAAGGTATCCAGGACTGCCAGATATTTCAGGAGGAGCCAGAAATCTCGATTTACTGGTGTAAGAGAGTCCCACATTTAAAATGCAAGAGGAGTGAACGTCACTGGAATTGAGATAGATGAAGTACATGTAACTGGTTTAGGGTTGGAAGAGGAAAGAAGAGAGAACACGCGAATCTCTGTTCTAAGTCTCCCACTCAGACCTCCCACACAGACCTCTGTGCTCTCAGTGCTCATTGTGTGTGAGAATTATCTGCAAGAACTCTAGAAAGTCGTGGAGCCCTGGGCCCCACCAGAGAGGCTCATCAGCTGCACGCGTGGGTGCCGTGGGAGCCCGGATGCTGGGGAGGCCGGATTTCAGCCCTGCTCCCCTTGGCCAAGGCCTTGGATAGCAAACCTGGAAAGTCAAACCAAATCCATCTACGACTGGGTGAGACTCAGGTGAAGGGTTGTCAAGTTATCTGGTGATTCTGATGCAGCATTAGGGTTGGGAACCCCAGTAACATTTAAATTACTTGAGCTCTTCAGTTGCAAGTTATTGAAAACAAGTGAAAACAAAAAGACTAAATAAACATTCTCCACACACACACTCACACTTCTCGTAAACAGAATTTGGCAAGATAAGCTCTTGCTGGTCTGGGAGCTGGACTTCTTTATAGCTCTTGAGGGGAAGGAGAGGAGGTGCCTGCTGCTGAGTGGAGACCCTGTGGGCTCACCCATGCCCTGCCCTGACCTGCTCCCGGCCCTGGGTTGTGGGCGAAGCTATAGCCTCACACTTCATTTTGGGCCAAGGGTTAGGTGGGGTAAATAAAGGTCATGGAACATGACTTGGGATATCTGACTTATTCCTAAAGTGTAGTTGGAATAAAGCAGGAAGAAAAGAATATAGACATTTGGGAACGGACATGGTTTAGGGAAAAAGTTTAGGTATTACAAAATGTGCAAAAAGATGTTTGTTTTGCAATTTATGTTTTCAGGCTGGTGTGAACTAAATACAGATTGACAGCTCTGAAGAACCAAGAGTGGTCAGAAAAACAAAAGTGTGGTGGTAGCTCTTCACCTACTGGGAGTTAAAAACACGTGCCGCGGGTGTGAGGAGAGCTTGGCATGATTCCACAGAGGAGGAAGAAAAAAGGAAACAAACAAACAAACAAACAGATGAAAGGGAATTTGTTGAATTTACAATGAATTAGAGTCTTTCCATTGTACTAATTTAAAAGTTAATATATCAGCTTCAAATTTTTCATAAATTGTGGTAATTTCCAAGAAGGTCATCTACATGTTTCTTGGTTTGCTTTGAGAAAGCACTCAATATAAAGAATCCATTCCATTACTTTTTATGTATTAAAATCTCTCTTAAGCATCTGACTATTTCATAATTTATAAGCTAGTGTAGACTTTTGAGGCAAGCATTTTCTTTGAAAAGATACAGACATTATCTCAGATTTGGCAAAGAAAAAAAAAAAGGATGTACAAACATCCTACAGTTGGCACTGCCTTTTAAAGCACATCCAAAAATGACCCACAGCAAAGTGACAATGGTAATATTTGCTCACATCACATGAGCAGGTCTGAGTAGCCAATGACCTGTGTCTGGGTTGCTGGTGTGATGTATTACAGTTTCTACAATTTGCTGCAGGCAGAAATCTTAATTAAGGCCTTTCCTAAAGAGTGACCTTCAGGGAGGGCATTACTGAATTGGTGTGAAAATAGACAAGTGGCCAAATTGCCCTGGTGGGACGGTGGAGAACTTGGATATCTCTCTCCCACCAAAGAATGGGCTGTGCTGGATATAGGCCAGGCTGCAGGATCAATGATCAATGATCAATGAGCCCTGCACCCCATGAAATAGCCTAACACTGGGGAGACGTGAAAGGGAGGACTTTTCTTTTTGGCGAATGCACGTCCGCTCCTCACACTGGAATATTCTGCATCTCCCTGCATGCATGTCTTCTCTGTGAATTCTGGGCCTGCGCGAGTCTGAGAAGAGCAATGCTCCCTAACAGCATACGTGTATCTGTGTTTCCTCGGGGGAAAACGCTCGCATATCTGCGGTCCTTGACGATATCGTCTGACAGGTTTTAGAAGGAGATGGTTTCTTCTTGGTCAGCAAACCAGGATGAGATGGGAACACATTCCGATCTGATCAGGGAGACCTTATACAGTGTTTGCCCTCCTTTTTGAGAGAAATTGGAAGGCATCCTCCACTAAGGTGAAGATGGATTGTGCAGCTTCAGGGGGCACAGGCTCCTGGCCGGGTGCCAGCAAGCGCGACTGCGCACCTCGGATCAGTGAGGCTTGCTTCTGCCAGATTTCTCGCGGCTGTGTGAAGTATTGCAGCCAAATGTCTCTCAATTTGCTCATTTCTTGGCCAAAGTTACTCCCTGATACTTAAACTCTAAGACATTGATCAACTTCTCATGCACTTGTGGAGGCCCACGGATGCATCTGACCTTCCCTTTCAGCAAGGCGTGACCGTGCCTCTCTGGGAGCTTCTGCACCGGATGCACCTGACCTTCCCTTTCAGCAAGGCGTGACAGTGCCTCTCTGGGAGCTTCTGCACCGGATGCACCTGACCTTCCCTTTCAGCAAGGCGTGACCGTGCCTTTCTGGGAGCTTCTGCAATCAGGGCAGTGGATCTACCCAAGTCGTCTGGTCACAGTTCTCAGTATCCTCTGATCTAACATTTTCCTGTGAGTCCAGAGGAACAAATACCTTCACAGCCGCCACTTAATGTGTTGCCCATTAGTAGCGGATCCGCAAGTCTCGAGCTTTCTGTTTGCATTAGCGGAAGAAAAACAACAAAGTCAATCTCAGAGTTTTTTAAACCACTGGGAAAACTATAAAGATGGCAAATGCTTTTGAGTAACAATTATTAGGCAGAAGACACCACGGTTATTTCAACCTGCCTGGTCTTTAGGTAAGACGAACTCTGAACTTCTCAAACCAGCACTTTCTGAAGCCTAGAAGAAGAATATGTAAGGAAGAAGAGACTCCAACACAATTGTATACAAGAAATGCTGGATGAGGGATCCTAATAATTAGCATATTAGGATCAAACACTCTTGGGTGTCTCTCTTGGGTGAAATATCTGGTGAGCCTGAATGAGAGGGGGTCAAAATACTGTGGGATATTTAAATTAAAATGTCTCCATACACCACATACTTTCATATCATGAGGGTCTGTCTAGGCAAGCTGCTGCTACAGGTGCACGGACAACAAAGACCTCAGCCTTGCAGCTGACTGACAATTTTGTGATAAACAGAAGCACACGTTAGCTGTCAGGTAAGTGAGCCTGTGCAAGATGCTGTCATCAGAGAATACATGAAAAACCAGGAGGCCCAGGAGAAGAAGCAACACTAACAACGGCCTAGGAGAAGAAGCAAGCCTAACGCCAGCCCCTTTAGTGGAAGGCTTCACCCAGGACTTGCCTTGGGAACTTGCCCTGGAGGAAGAGTAGGATTCCACCACTCAGAAAGGCAATAATGGGATGATAATAGCAGGCAATAGTATACTATAGATTATATGGAAATAATAATTAAGAATAGTAGGTTAAATGTTAAGATAACCTTATATCTGAAAGCACTTAACTGTTTACAAGGTAAGTTCCAATATATTAATTCAAATGACCACTGAAAAAATCCTCTGAGGTTTCTTTTACTACTGCTTTTAATTTTTATTTTAATTTAATTTTGTTTTTCTGAGACAGAGTCTCGCTCTGTGGCCCAGGCTGGAGTGCAGTGAGACAATCAGGGCTTACTGCAACCTCTGCCTCCTGGGTTCAAATGATTCTCCTGCCTCAGCTTCCCCAGTAGCTGGGATTACAGGTGTGTGCCATCCTGCCCAGCTAATTTTTGTATTTTTAGTAGAGATGGGGTTTCTCCATGTTGTCCAGGCTGGTCTTGAACTCCTGACCTCAAGTGATCTGCTCTCTTTGGCTTCCCAAAGTGCTGGAATCACCCGCCTGAGCCAAGACAGCCAGCCTGCTATTGTTTTTTTAAATAAGCCGTTAAATGGCTCACCCAAGACAATATACACATGAAAGTAAGAATCCAGAGCTGAACTTGGTTCTCTGTTTCCAAGGACCATACCCCAGTTGTCTCATGAACTACATACGTCAGCAGATAGGATGCCATGTCTAAGCCTTACAGGATTACCATGCTGAAGGAAGAGGACCTTGAAGTCCACATCATGGCAGGTGCTTCATATCTCTTAGGAACAATGAAAAAGTAACTGGCCAGAGGAAATGCCTTCTGCAGTCCTCACAATTTTATAATTTCTTTTTGTTTATGTATTTATTTAATTGTTATTATTTTTTAAGAGACAGACTCTTGCTCTGTGGCCCAGGTTGAAGGGCAGTGGCATGATCATGGCTCACACAAGCCTCAACCAGGCTTAAGCAATCCTCCCACCTCAGCCTCCCAAGTAGTTGGGATTACAGGTGTAAGCCACCACACCCGGCTAATTGTTTTTATTTTTTGTAGAGACAGGGTTGTGCCACGTTGCCCAGGCTGGTCTGGAACTCCTGGGCTCAAGCAATCCTCCCATCTTGGCCTCCTAAAGTGCTAGGATTACAGGCATGAGCCACCGTGCCTGGCTTATTATTTCTTTTTAGGAACCATTTTGAAACCTTTTATTTAACTGGAGTTTTACAATCTTACTGACACCTAGCATTTGTGTGCCTACAGAATGTTAAGAAATCCTGATAACTCAAAAAAGCCCATTCTTTGTTTCACCATTTTGTCAGCTCTAGAGTCATCCTGCCTGACAATTAGCAGGGCCAATTCATAAGGAGTCCCAAAACCAACACACACTGTTTTTGTGGAAATTAAAAATGGAATAAACAAAGTCAGATGTAATGAGACCCACAGTCTGGAGAAAATCCTACCCCTAGACTTGACAATGAGCCTGCCATAACCTACCTTTCTTTATGTTTTTGTGTATACATGCTACCCCTCAACAAGGCAAGGAGCTTGTCTGTAGCAAGATTTCAGAAAAAAAGAAAAAGAAATCAGAGTGGAAAGACCTTTCTGTCTCCGCTGTTCATGGCTGAGTGATTCGCCTCTTTGAGTTGTAGTTTCTCCTGTTAAAAAGTAGATAAATTTCCCTTGCTTGTCTAACTGGATTGTTGTAAAAATCAAAGGAGATAAGACAGCAGAAAGCTACTTCTAATTTGTAAATTGCTACAAAATGAGAGTTATTGTTATGTATCTCTCTTGGCCTTTAATAGTTGTTGATAAGATCATTTTTGTGATATAAGCATCACTCATTTGTTCTATAACTCTTCATTGAGTTTCTGCTTTTTGATTTAGGGAACTGAGTAGCTGGCAAGACAGGGAAGCATATAGTTTAGTGGCAGAAGGCAGAGTGAACCATCAATAAGTGAACAATAAGCGCCACACAGAGAAGTAAAACTAAGTAATGGGATGAGAATGAGAATGGCTGGGGGAGGGGCTTCAGAGATAGGGATTGTTATGTGTTCAACGGTGTCCCACCCAGAAAATACATGTTGGTGTCCTAACCCATGGGACCTCAGGATGTGACTGTGTTTGGATATTGGGTCCTAGCTCGTTAAGAGGAGACCCCACTGCGGTAGAGTGGGTCCATGGTCCAGTATGTTGGTGTCCTTATCAAAGAGAGTCGTGAGGGAACACAGGAGAGTACCACGTGACGCTAAGGCAGAGATTGAAGGAGCAGGAAGGATCATCCCCTGCGGCCTTCAGAGGGAGTGCAGTCCTGCTGACACCTTGATTCTGGACTTCTGGCTTCCAGAACTATGAGAGGATGGATTTCAGTTGCTTTAAGAGCCCAGGTTTGCAGGACTTTGTGTTGGCAGCCCTAGAAGGCTAATAGGTGGTCCAAGAACACCTGTCTACAGGTGCAGCATTTCACCTGGGACTCGACTAAGGAGGGAGGCAGGGATGCAAGTCAGGGAGTGTCCCGGGTGCTGGGGGACCCCGGCCTTCTGAGTCTCACAATCAGAAGGTGGGCAAGACAGCTGGAGGGGAGCAGGTAGGGAAGGAGGTGGGAGACGAGGCCAGGAGGGAGAGCAGGGCTTTGTAGGGGGAGGTGATGTGCTTGGACTTCATGCCAAGTACCATGAGAGGCCTGGGAGAGCTTTAAACACAGGTCGCTGCTGACACGGAGCTCAGGCCTTGATGCCAGCATCTAATCCCCACGCACTTGCCGAGCAAGGCCACACGAAATGCTCCCAAGAAGGACTGTGACTTTAAAACCCTAAAAGGGACAGGTCACAGCACATTTTTAAAGTTTGTGACATGACATTTTCTGTTGCTATTCAATAGTTGTAAAAATGCTTCATCAGAACTTTTAAAGCATGCAACAGCCACCACCTAATGTACACTTCGATTAAGTCAGTGAAATTGGCTCCAGACTCAGAAATCAAATCAGGATTCCAATTTTTGGCAACATAGTATCTATCATAGTATTTTATTTTTGCTATTGGATAATGGAAGTATTTATGCTATTTATAAAGTATTAGGTGGTGCAGGTTACAGAAAAATTTAAATTCCTAATTTTTAAGTGCTAATTTGCAGTCAGTAGCTTTGTTCCATCTTTTTGTTTATTTCTTTGGGTATATTTTTGTATTAAGTAGATATAGTTTAGTTTCAGACCATGATAGATTCAGGTCACAATAATGAATACATAAAGATTCAGAGGATAAAATAGTGGCAAATTGGTCTGTTTCTCTGTGTGCTACAAAGAATGAACTAAGGAATCAGAAAGTGCAAGTTCACACTTGATTCATGGTCCTCTTGCTGATCTCTCCGAACCTATTTCCTCAATTAATTAATTCTTTCCTTAATTTACCAAGTGTTTGTCCATTGTTCAGTGCTGAGAGGACCATACTATAAGACTGGTGTGATCCTGTCTTTAATGTGCAAAGTAGAGATGGAATCCAAGCATTATTATTCTAGGCACAGCATAATATGGCATTCTTTTTTTTTTTTTTTTTTTTTTTTTTTTTTTTTTTTTTTTTTTTTTTGAGATAGGGTCTCGCTCTTTCACCCAGGCTGGAGTGCAATGGCACGATCTCAGCTCACTGCAACCTCCGCCTCCTGGGTTGAAGCGGTTCTCCCGCCTCAGCCTCCTGAGCTGGGATTACAGGCGTGCGCCACTACGCCTGGCTATTTTTTGTATTTTTAGTAGAGATGGGGTTTCTCCATGTTGTCCAGGCTGGTCTTCAACTCCTGACCTTGTGATCCACCTGCCTCGGCCTCCCAAAGTGCTGGGATTACATGTGAGCCACCGCACCTGGCCCATAATAGGGCATTCTTATGCCAAGTATAGTACCTGGTTTACAAGAGACCAGAATGATCCATTTGCATGGTTTCTTACTCAGGACGCTAATTTTAGGTATTCAATAGAAAATTTAGCAAAATCACACACAGGAATAAATGTTAAGTATATTTTCCTCCATTTTTTCTCCTATAAATAGACTTTAAAATTATGAAGGAATGAGCCCATAGACAATATCCATGTCTCCTGAGAGGCAGCTTTGGGTCTGAGGTCAATCAACTACTTTTGATTGAATAGTGTCCTGTCTGGATTTCTGTTCTTTATTTACTTTGAAATATGTAAATATTTGCATAGATGGTAAATGGAAATGGTGTACTTGTTGGTGAACCTGTTTGATTACTAAAGCCATAATAATAACACCACCAGCTATGAATGCTAAGCAAAAATGACCCTTTGTTCTACTTTTTCAAATCTGTGGACTACAACAGCACTCTTGGGGACAATAACCCACACAATAGATTAAAAGCCTGTTAAATGTTATTTTCAGCTTGGCAGAACATCAACTGCTGAGTACCCTTTAGCTCCACTTTTTTTTTGAAGTATGGCAAACTTACTATATCCAGGTGACAACAGTAACATGTCATTTTAGAGTGATTAAATAATTGTACAAATAAATGGAATTAGGCTTACTCTCTGACTCCGAAATACAAAATTCAGGTGGAGCCAAGGGGTGAGTTGTGGGGGTCTTTGACCTCCCAAACGTTTACCATGTGCTCCAAACCTCCCTCCACAAATGTATAATCTAGTAGAAGTACACCTGGTGGATTATTGCAGCTTCAGGATGAACCATCACCCATTCTCCAAACTACAGTCTCTCCTACTTTGAAAATCTGGAGCTATCTCTTGCTAAAAACATAAAAGATTTAAAGATTTTTCTAGGTTTTCTCTTTTTTTCTACTTTAAATTCTCAACCAAAACAGAGGCATAATTTATATATATGTTTTAGTAGGAAGTCTTGGATTATCTCCTAATTTTAAATAGTTTGATTCTGGTTAAAATAATTTTTAGACCACAGTTTACATGATTTAGCTGATTGGAAAATTGCTTTTTATCATAATTAGTAGAAATTGGTGAACTGAACTCCTTTAAGTCTGCTACAAAACCAACCTTGCAAGAATATTTCTTCCATTAAAGCACATGGCTTTAAGAGAATTGCCAATAAAAAGCAACCAGTTAGAAGATTCATGCTGGAGGAAACATTCAAGTTGTATATCAAATACATGCAAGGTATATCAAGTAGTTCACGTTCACATTTATTTACAAAACTCCTCGGAGGGTTTCTGCTGTGCTAAGGACAAAAGGAGATCTCATAAGTTCTGAATTTAATAAAAAATATCATAGAGGTTATTTTGCCAAATGAAAATAAATCCAATACAACACTACTATGCAATGGGTTTAAACATTTATACCCAGGTTGATGAATAGAATTCCAGCCCAATGCTACATTTTGGCAGAACATAGTCTTAGAAAAGATTTGGAGCTGCCTCCAGTCTTTAAGGTGGTAAGCTTTAGAGGAGCCTTAGAAATATTCCATTCCATTAGTTAGAATATGATGAAAAGTACAAACTTTTCTAGTCATCATGGTTGTCATTATTAACATGATTGTCACCATACTTATTAATATAATCATCACCATCATCATAGTCATCATCACCATCATCATCATCATTATCATTGTTATCATCATCATCATTGGTATAAACATCATCACCATCATCATCACTGTCATCATCACCACCATTATCATTGTCATCAACATTACCATCATCTTCATCACCATCATTATTATCATAATCACCTTCATTAGTATCAACATTATCACCACCATCATCATCATTGTCATCACCATCACCATCATTATTGTGATCATCACCATCATTGCCATGATTATCATTTCTATTGTCATCATCATAGTCATCATCATCACCATCATTAGTATCAACCTCATCACTGACATCATTATCTTCATCATCACCATCACTATTATCATCGTCATCACCATCATCATCGTCATCACCATCATCATCATTATCGTTATCTTAGTCATCATAATCACCATCATTATTAACATAATCATCACCATCATCATCATAGTCATCATCACCATAATAAGTATCAACATCATCACTATCATCATCATTGTCATTATCACCATCATCATTGTCATCAGCACCATCATCATCAACTTTATCATCATCATAGTCACCATCATCAGTATCAACATCATCATTAGTATCAACATCGTCACCTCCATTATCATCATTGTCATCAGCACCACCATCATCGTCATCATCACCATCATTATTACCAACATTATCATCCTATCTTCATCATCATTTAGTATCAACATTATCATTAGTATCAACATTATCACCACCATCATCATCATTGTCATCACCATCACCATATCATTGTCATGATCACCAACATCACCATGATCTTCATTGCTATCATCATCATCATAGTCATCATCATAACCATCATTAGTGTCAACATTGATGATACTAATCAATCTACCATTATCATCATTTCATCATCATCATCATCATCGTATGGTTATCATAATAATCATATTCATCATAATCACCATCATTATCAACTTAATTATCATCACCATTGTCATCATCACCATAATTAGCATCAACATAATCACTGTTATCATCATTGTCATTATCACCAGCATCATCATCACCGTCATCATCATCATCACCAACATTGTCATCATTATCATTATGTAACTTAACTTTCCTCATACGGAGAGCAACGCACACTGGGCTATGAACAATAGGGAAATTACTGTGTACTTTGGCTTCTTAGGCTGAGACATTAAGTAGAAACAACCACATATTAAGAGGTCTTAGATACATATTTATAGCACCATGACCCAGTGGTAAGGACCTGGAATGCAGACTCAGAGGACCTTAGTCCAGCCCTGCCTCTAGCTGGACCTGTGACAGTGACAGTGACCCTGTCACTGGCTTTTGAATCTCAGGTATGCCCCTTAAGTTCTATAAGCCTAAGTCGTCACATCAATGAAATGGGATAATAATAATAACACTTGACTAAGAAGTTATTGTGAATGTCACACAATATCCTTACTAACATCTTCATTTTGCAAGGAGAAAACCAAGCTTATGAAGATTAAGTAATGTATACAAGGAAGCACAGGTGTTAACTGATGGAGTCTGAGTATGAACTAGGGTCTTTTTGATTAGACAATTCGTGCCCCAAACCACTTGTATATACTGCCTTCATCATATGAAATATTGCACATTTAATAGTGTTCCTCTCCATTTTTAGAGACTCACCAAAAATTTCTAAATAAGTTTGTGGAAATATGCAGAAAACACATGTTCATTTGAGACAAATTTTAGAGAAAGAGCTTTTTGAAATAAAGGCTAATTTAGAAACCATTTTCTAATTCATCAGTTCCTCTCAGTTGTATTAAACACTTATTGTTCTCCTTTCTCTTATAAATAATTGATTCAAAACTATTTATAAATTACATATATATGTACACACACACAGGCACAAGCATCAGTTATGCTTTTTATACACTAATCCTAAATCTCTTCAATCTGAAATTATATTTCATAAAGAACTTGTTCTGAGGAAATAAAATTATATATAAATGTCACTTCTATTTTCCAATCATTTATAAGTTAATTGAGGGGATCTCACATACATTCCTGAGATATCTGCAGAAGTAACCACTTTAAGTATAAATTCCATAGAATTTGAAGGGGGTGGAGTTTAATGTTGGTTGATGAGGTGGAGATGACTTCCTGGAGGGCATGGAAGTTGAGGCATGGAAGAGAATGTGTCTGGGTGGGATGGGAGAGAATAACTCAGTTTTAGAGGTAGAGAAAATGAACATTTCTGGGTGGCAAAGATAAAAAAATCTCATTAAATCAAATATTTGTGTGTATATGGAAAAGCAGAAACTCTCATTCAGTGCTTGTGGTGGTATAAGTCAGTAGATGCCTTGGAAAACTGTTTGGGCTGGGCATGGTGGCTCACGCTTGTAATCCCGGCACTTTGGGAGGCTGAGGCAGGTGGATCACCTGGGGTCAGGAGTTCGAAGACCAACCTGGCCAACATGGTGAAACCCATTTTTACTAAAAATATAAAAAATTGGCCAGGCATGGTGGCAGATGCCTGTAATCCCAGCTACTTTGGGAGGCTGAGGCTGGAGAATCACTTGAACCCAGGAGGCAGAGGTTGCAGTAAGCCAAGATTACACCATTGCACTCCAGCCTAGGCAACAAGAGTGAAACTCTGTCTCAAATAAATAAATAAATAAATAAATAAATAAATAAGTAATTTTTTTAAAAACAAAGGAAAAGAAAAGAAAACTATTTGGAGTGATCTCATATGTGTGAAAATACACATGGCCTATGACCAGGTAATCTCACTGATACATTTATAAACAAGAGAAATTCCTAGGATACAAAAAAAAATTACTGTTTATAAAAACCAAAAGTGGAAATCATCCATCTATGTTAGAATGAATAATTTTATGTGTTCAAAATTTTAATGTGTTCAAAATATAATAAACATGACACATGCAGTAACATGGATGAATTTCACCAATACAATGGTGAATGAAAGACGTAAAACACAAGTTACAGACATATACTTTTGTATAAATTTCAGAAATGACCAAAATCAAAAAATGTTGTTTAGAAATACATCACTGACTCATCACTTACTCATCATTCATTCATTATTCACTCATCACTCACTCATTATTCACCTCTTACTCACTCATCATTTATCATTCAGTCATTACTCATTCATCACTCAACACTCACTCATCACTCAACACTCATTCATCATTCATCGCTCACTCATTACTCATTTATTACTCATCATTCAGTGTTCATTCATCGCTCACTAATCACTCACTCAATACTCATTACTCAACACTCATTCATTACTCATCATTCACTCATTACTCGTCATTCACTCATTACTCTTCATTAATCATTCAGTCATTACTCACTCATCACTCACTCATCCCTCAACACTTATTCATCACTCATCACTCACTCATTACTCATTTATTACTCATCATTCATCATTCACTCATCACTAATCACTTATCATTACTTAACACTCATTCATTACTCATCATTCGCTCATTACTCATGCATCATTCATCATTCCTCACTGCTCACTCACACTCACTTATCACTCAACATTCATTCATTACTCATCACGCATTCATTACTCACTGAATTAACCATTCAGTCATTACTCACTCATTACTCATCACTCACTTATTACTTACCCATGTATCAGTCATTACTCATTCATCACTCACTCAACACTCTATTACTTATTACTCACTAATCGCTCACTCATTACTCACTCATCATTCAGTTGTCAGCTACTCATCACTCACCTATCACTCACTCATTACTCACTCAAACTTATTCATCACTCGCTCATGTCTCACTCATCACTCATCACTCACTCATCATTCATCACCCACCACTCATTTTTACTCAACACTCACTCATCATTCACCACTCACCACTCATTCATCACCCACCACTCACTCATTACTCGTCACTCACCCATTAGCCATCATTCACTCATTACTCACTCATAATTCATTCATCACTCATATGCATCACTCACTGCTCACTCATCACTCACTTATTACTTGTTACTCACTCATTACTCACTCATCATCATTCCCTTGTTACTCACACATCACTCACTCATCACTTAACACTCATTCATTACTCATTGCTCACTCATCATTCATCATTTAGTCATTACTCACTTATCTCTCATCACTCATTCATTACTCATCACTCACTCAACACTCAGTCACCAATATAGGTACCTCTCTGACTACATGAAGAAGTGATTTTGATATCTTTTAACCCTTAATCAGCTATAAAATGGTAGCCCACAGGTTGCATATGAACTGCACAACGTATTTTATTAGGTATCACTTGCTTTGTGAATTTTTTGTATAGTTCTACACAGAAAAGCTAGATTCAAGAGTTCTTTTGAAGAGTTGGAGTTGTTTGTCAGGCCTGGGTCCCTGCTTCTGAGCAGTGCCTCCCACTGAACCCAGCACGGAAGTGCCCTGTTCCCATCATCCCACCCGTGTTCTTGTTTAGGCACTTACCGTCTCACCCCATGTGTAATGACCTGTCTGTTCTCTGTTGTTATTTCAGTTTTCTCCCTGAACTCTAAGGACATTTAACCTAAGTGTTACATGAATCAAAGTGCTGGTGTGTTTTTCTCTGTCTTTGGAAAGTTATAGAAGGTAGAATCGGCATGACTTTGAAGCAATTATTCCAGTAGAAATTCTGTTTTCATAGCTGCCAAAAAGGCCGCATGACAAAAACAGTGGCAATTCCCAAATGCATCTTGATACTTCTAGGTTGATTCTAAATGACAACTTATTTACTAACATAAAATAATAATTTAGTCAATTATATTTTTAGTTCTTCATAAACACCTACAGCACAAAAGGGTAAAAATAATTTTGGGGTGAATTGTAGCAAAGAAAATTTTGATTAGGGCGATAAAAGAGAGGTAAAATAGATACACAGCAAAAACATTTAATCTTGCCCAGCTGTTATAGGTGGGCTGCATATTTAGACAGGAGCTTCCTAGCTGCCAATGCAAGGAAATTATTCTGACCTTTGCAAGATTCACAACAATCATGGGATAAAAACAAAACACTTGTTCTGGAAAAGCACTGTTGTGCTGTCCCTGAAACCTAGAGTCATATTCTCTAGTGCACCTTTTAAAATTTTACTTTATTTTTATTTTTGAGAAAGAGTCTTGCTCTGTCTCCCAGCCTGGAGTGCAGAAGCCCAATCTGTGCTCACTGCAACCTCCATCTCCCAGGTTCAAGCGATTCTCCTGCCTTAGCCTCCCAAGTAGATGGGATTACAGACATGCACCACCACGCCCAGCTAATTTTTGTATTTTTAGTAGAGACGGGGTTTCATCATGTTGGTCAGGCTGGTCTTGAACTTCTGACCTCGTGATCTGCCTGCCTCAGCCTCCCAAAGTGCTGGGATTATAGGCGTGAGTCACCACGCCTGGCCTCTAGTGTACCTTTTTAAAGAAGTGATGGGTAGTGTGTTTGGGCAGCTTAAACATTCCTGCAGTAAAAGGGGGAGTTTAACTTGCTAGCTATGTAGGGAAACAGTTTTGAGTCTCCTGGAATTGTACACAGAATTTGGTGTGCATGTATACATGATTTTTCTAGAGTTAAATATCCAGAACTTTCTCCGATTTCTCAAAGGCAGCATTCTCCTCAATGTGCCACACAGCCCAGTTGTATCAGAAGCCCTCAGGGAGTTTGGTAAATTGCAGAGTACTGGGCCCTACATGAATCAGAGTCACTGGAGGTGGAACTCAAGAATCTGCATTAGAATGGCTCTTTCTCTCTCTTCCCCCACAACATGTACACAAACCAATTCATGTGTCTGTTTATTACCATTATCTTTAATTCAATTAAAAATGAAAAATAGCAAAAATCAATTTAGCAGAAAGCAATTCCACAGAGGGGCCCAATCAAAACAGCTCGAATATATTGCTCGCCAGTAGCCTGTTTTGATCCAAGGGTAAAATGTAAACTAGCCAGGGGAATTTATGGACTTCATGTCCTTCAGCCAATCCTCCATAAATATCATTTCTCCCCACTGGGCATTTCAGGAGGATTAGAAAACAGAATTCTTTTTTTATTCACTGACAAGAACCTGGAGGGCAGAAATTCAGTGTTTCAACTAAGGACAAAGCCATTTGATTCATTAATCAACTGGGCAGAGGACAGGATTAAGGTTTTATTCTCTTCTTTCGAAGAACTCTGCCTGGCTGAAGGGTCACCACTGCACCCGGTACCAAAGCAGGTCCATGGATGTTACCTGTGGGAATAGCCTGGTGAGATCTGCAATAAAAACTGCAATCGTGAGGAAACTTCCAGAACATTGAGGCTGATCACTGACCACCAGGTAAACTGGCAAGGAAGGATGCCACACAGTGTCCACCTGGGTGCCATCAAGAACGGACACAATAGCTGTTGCTTTCACAGCGAAAGGAGACTTCTCGTTCACCAGCCTCAGTGGGGGCCCGGCCCCTCCTGCACCTGCTGCCCCCAGCGGGGCTCTGTGATGCTGCATCTCCCACAACTGTCCAGCCAGTCATGCTGAAGACCCCTTACTTCCTGGAGCATTTCTAATTTTAAGTTTTGTGCACCCACACCAGGAAAGAAGGTTTAGTTCTATACTCTGGAGAGGTATATGACCGTGTGCTCACAGGCAGACCCACACATCCTTGGTCTCTCAAAAGCAATAAAAGGTGCTTTTGCAAACTATAGGCCTCCTTCAAAATCCTGAGATTCCCAGCAAGGTTTTGGGTCACCCCTCCCAGGCTTGAATCAGTGACACGGCAACCCATGGAAGAAGCAAATCTACTAAATTTACTTGTGTTTGAAGAGGAGTTAAGCTGCAATAAAGGAACTGTCACCCGCTTGCAGGGGCCTCAGTCCTGCCTCTGTCAGGGCCTCTGGCCTGTGGACGGAAGTCTGAGTGGGTGTCACTCGGGTGCATGAGCTGGGCCTCAGGGTGAAGTCCAGGTTGTGTAGTTTAAAACATCCATTTTCTAACCTGTGTTACTTTAATCTTTATTTGTTTTCTCACAACACTTAGATGGAAAAAGAAACGGGATCATGTTGTCTGGTTATTGCATTAAAAATCTTTAAGCATGCAAGAAAGAATTATTTTTCAATAAATTTTGGTAAGATGTCTGCATTTCAGAGAGATCTTGGTAATAGCATGAGCATATGGTGCCATTTATTTTCTGTCACCATCTTATTCATTTCCTTATTTTTTGCGGCAATCTAGCATATTATCTTAATTATGTTTTAAATAACTTTTGGAGAAAGCATTAAGGAATAGCAATGAGATTAACCCTAAACACACGTATCATATGCACATCCAAGGAAAAATCTAAAAGAATACAGCAGCTATCTCCACTATTTAGAGCTTTACTCAGTAAATTATTTTCCTCAAAATAACACATACATATTTAATTTTTAGGAAGAGAACCATGGATTATGCAATATCAGGCTTTCGTGAAGGGATTTTTTTGTTGTTGTTGTTCAGTCTGTAGCCCAGGCTGGAGTGCAGCTCATTTCAACGTCTGCCTCCCAGGCTCAAGCAATCCTCCTGGCTCAGCTTCCTGAGTAGCTAGGAAAACAGGCACACGCCACCATACCCAGCTATTTTTTTTTTTTTTTTAGAGATGGGGTTTTGCCATGTTGCCCAGGCTGGTCTCATACTTCTGGTCTCCAGAGACCTCCTTGTGCCCCCAAAGACCTTGATAAGTCACAGGGAAGCACAAAAGCAGTCAATTCCCTTTCAGCCCCCCTTTTAGCACCTGTGAGCCCTTCACATTCATTGTATCATTTCCTTTATACAGCACGATATAGATCTTGGTCAGCAAATATTTTCCATAAAGGGCCGTGATATGGTTCTGATCTGTGTCCCCATCCACATCTCATGTTAAAATGTAATCCTCAGTGTTAGAGGTGGGGCTTGGTGGGAGGTGACTGGATCATGTAGGCGGATTTCTCATGAATGGTTTAGCACCATCCTCTTGGTGCTGACCTCGTGATAGTAAGTGAGCTCTGGCTAGATGTGGTCTCTAACAGTGTAGCCCTGCCCACGCCCCGCCCCCTTGCTCCTACTCTGCCATGTGACATGCCTGCCCTGTCTTCACCTTCTGCCATGATTGGAAGCTTCCTGAGGCCTCCCCAGAAGTCAAGCAGATGCCAGCTTCACGCTTCTTGTACAGCCTGCAGAACCGTGAGCCATTTAAACCTCTTTTCTTTATACATGGCCCAATCTCAGGTATTTCTTGATAGCAATGCAAGAATGGCTTAATACAGGCCAGAGAGTAGGAGTTTTTGATCATTCAGCCTCTTTCCCAATCCTTCACTCTGCCAGTATTTCATGAAGCAGGCACAAATGACATGGAAGTGGCATGTTCAGTGAACTTGGATTCCGTTGCTTAAACTGGCTCCTTCACTTCCATGCTGAGGTCCTGGATCTGCAGCTCCAACCCCCTTTAAATCCCTCAACACGGAGCCCATCGCTTCCAGCAGCAGCTCTCACACTGTGAGCGGGCATGCTCTGTCCCAGGCAACACTTGCACACCTTTCTTCACAGCCCACAAGCCAGTCCTACTGTTTTCTCCCATGAAGCCAACACTTTCATTTTTCCAACACTCAGCCCACCCCTTACTTTTTCCCCTCTTTAATGGGAAATAATGCATCTGGCGCTGGACATTCTGAGTGTGTCTGAGTACACGTCTCATTGCAGACACGTGTGTACGCGGGCATTATGTAGCCAGCCCGGCCCTGTTAGGGAGTTCTGCTGCAGACCCCTGACTCGGCTGGCTGTGCACTGCGTGGAGCCCCACGTGCGTGGGCCTGGACGTTCACATGGAGCTCCTGCCGTGGTGGTGAAATATTGTGGACTGCTTGGCTGACTACACGGGTCAGTTGCTGCAAAAAGCCAGTCTGCAGGTGGGGCAGTCCAGGACCGTTTCCGTGACAAAAGGAGAAAAACAATGACCTTGAAGTAAAATTTGTATAAAGCTACATTTTTTTCAATATTTAAAAAATTCTTAAAAAGTATTCTTACTATTCATTTTTTGCTATTAATATACAAGGGGGTAGTTGTTGCCGGCTTCATGCTGTGCCTGGCACTCTTTTTTGAAATTACTCTGGACTGAAATCCCTGAATCTGGGACCCAGGTTCTAGGAATGCAAACACACACACATGCGTGTGCGTGCACACACACGTACATATACACAGAGACACACATGACACACACAGACACACATACACATGCAATGCACACACATGCACACATGATGCACAAACACACAGACACAGCCACACATGCACGACACACAGACACATGCATACAGACACACACGGATGCACACAGGACACACACACACATGCACACACAGACACACACAACATAGACATGCACACATACAGACACACTGATACACGCAAAACACACATGAACACAAACACACAGGCACCGACACACACACAGAGACACACATGCACACACAGAAACACACACACCAATGACAAATCAGCCTCACTGTGTGCCTCGCATTGCCCCATTTAACCCGCATCCTGCGTTGTTGGAAAGTGTGTATGTGATGATGACGCTGAGGAAGATGACAGCACAGAGGGAAGATGGCACCTGCAAGGGATCGGAGGGTTTTTGTTTTTTTTTTTTTTGCAACAAATAACTCAGATGCCAGTTTTCCTTTCCAGGGAAGTTTTATGGTTGAGTTAGCTGTCTTAGGGAGGCGAAATGATTTCTCTAAGGTGTCGTCTGACTCACATCCACACACATCTTCCCTCGGAAAACACTCGTTCTGCCTGAATTGAAACCAGTGTGTCTAGCCCTGAGCCAGTTAGCCTCACCATGCCCCAGCCAGGCGCGTCAGCCGCCTCCCCACACCTGTGGTTATGCCACTCCCATCCCCACCATGGCAGCCACCTCCCCATGCCCGTGGTTCTGCCACTTCCGTCCCCACCGTGGCAGCCGCCTCCCCATGCCCGTGGTTCTGCCACTCCCGTCCCCACCATGGCAGCCGCCTCCCCATGCCCGTGGTTCTGCCACTCCCGTCCCCACCGTCTGCACTCCAGACATCTTCTTGAATTAGGAGGACTCCAAGCCAGAAGCTCCATCGTGTTCTATTTCTGTGTGAGTGAGTGCATGACATCTCACAAAAAAGTAATAAATAATCTTTCAATGTATCCTTTTCCTTGACTTTTTCCATTCTTGGTATCAAAATCAGAGCACACTTTAATAATCATCTAATCGTTTCTGGTTGTTTCTCTTAAAATCTGATCATCTATGATCTGATTATTATTTTATCTGATAATCTATTATCAGATTTTAAGAGAAACAGTGCATGTGACTGTGTCTTTGGGAAGATGATGTGCATGTCACCTATTGGACTTTTTACTGTCTGTCATGACGGTCCTTTGGAATGGTTTTCAGGTAGAAATGAATAATATTATGGTATTGGTCAGGAAGAAATTTAACGACAACTGAATTTGTTTATAAAAGTTTGAATTTTGTCGTGCGGCTCATTTCAACTTCTCCTCCTGCAACCCTTCTGAAATAGAGAAATTCTGCCCATAATATTTATTATTTATGGGGGGGAAATGCTGGAATGCCTAATGGAAGCTTCCAGATGATAAAAGTCCCAGGTCTAGCAGGAAGCCCACAGGCTGTTCAATTCCCCCACTACGGTATTTGCATATTTGAGGCTCATGTTCCCAAGCACCAGACACCAGCAAAACTCTGCAGCGCTTTTCTGTTAGTTTCAGCGACAGCCTGTCTAGGCATGCCCTTCTAGAAAGAAAACTGTAGTAATGCTAAGAACGGTAGCTCTATTTACTGAGGACCATGTGGGCTCCAGGCGTCCTGCCGACCCACTGTGCAGGGTCTCATGTGGCTGTCCACACAGCCCTGGGAGATGGAGATTCCTACTCTGTTCATCTCGTAAAAGAGGAAAATTAAATGTAGGGGAGAAACTTGCTATAAGTACCCGCTGTGGACTGGCTGTGGGGTCCCCCAAATTCCTATGTTGGTACCCCAACCCCAAAGGGATGGCATTAGGAGGTGGAGTCTTTGGGAGGTGATTGGGTCATGGGGGTGGGGCCCGGTGATGGGATCAGTGCCCTTCTAAGGAAAAACGTGAGGGCCCTGGTTTCGTCCCTCTCCGATCCCTGCCGTGTGAGGACGCAGTGAGCAGGTGGCTGGCTGCAGGTCGGAGGCCAGGATGTCAGGAGGCAGGTCTTCCCCACAATCCGGATCTGCTGCCTGGACAGTGGGCTCCCAGCCTGTGGCACTCAGGGACCAACGTCCACTGCCTAAGCCACCCAGTCTGTGCCCCGCTGCTATGGCTGCCCAAGACGGTGGCCGAGACAGAAGCACTTCTGAGTCCTAGGGTGTTACTCACTGATTCTTCCAGTGGCTGTCGAGTGACTTCCCTATAGGAGGGCAGAGCTGTGATCAATAAATACGGAAGCCAGGAAGACAGGAGTTGACGCTGCTACAGAGGAAGGAAACAGAGTGGGCTCAGATGTGCTGGCTGTAGAAGAGGAGCTCGTTTTATGTGAGGGAACCTCAGGAGGCCCTGGAGTCAGGAGGGAGCAAGACCAGACCCACTGGAGAGGCTGGCATGAGCCTTGGCACCGGACAGGAAGGCTGCACCTGCCCCCTTCACCAGGCTGCATCCGGAGCTCCCTGCTATCCACACACCCCAGCTTCTGCTCACACTGCCCTTCAAGGCCCCTCGTGAGCACACATGGCAGTCCCTTCTGAGTGCTTCCTTTACTACGTGAATCTGACGACTGCCTAGAGGGAAACGTGAGCTCCGTCTGGAGATGTTTACCCTCGACCAGGTGGCAGCTTTGAATGGCAGGGACTGGAATCTACCAGTGTAGCTCCTGTGTGGGCACCGGCTCAGGACGAGAGACAGGCCGAGTTCCAATGTCTTCCAGGACTCGATGGAGGGGCAGGGTGCTGTCTGAAGGGGTTTCCCCCGCTTGTTGTGAGTCCTAAGTGCCAGATAGCGGGTGTACAGTGACTTCATTAGGCATACGCAGCTTTCCTGGCACGTACACGGGGAGAACTGGAGGAGAAGAGCTGGGAGCAGCCAGCCCTCCCAGTCCTGGATTTGACCATGGTGCCCTTCTTGCCGTCTTCTCCAGGGTGGGACAGGCAGCGATGGCTCTTCCACTGGCCTCTGGGTCCTTCAGAACTAGTAACGTGGTCAGGGCTGTTCTTTAATTTTAGGGATGTCTGGTCCAAGGTTCCACAATTGACGACTGTGTGACCTTGGGGAAACCTCACCTTTCTAAATCTCACAAGGGAGATCACACAATTCCCGAGTGGTGCGTTCATCAGGAAGGTCAAGTGAGGTCGCGTGTGAACGTGAATTATCCAGCAGCACACGGCCAGCGAGACCTTGACACTGGTGTTGGCGTTGGATGAATAGGATGCGTTTGAGGGCCCCTTGGTGGTTGAGAGCCCTCACTGTCACCGACCTCCATCCATCCCCAGGACAGGCATCTTGCAGAACCTCAATGGACGTCAGTGCTGTCCCCGCAGCTGGTGAAGACACACGCTATGGTCAGAGGCTGCGTCTGGACCTCGGCTTGGCCAAGCTATGTGTGAGCATGAAGCTTGTTTCCTTCTCTCAAACATGGGGAGAACCCAGTAAACCTGCCTGGCAGAGTCGTTGGGAGACTCCCAGGAGGCCCTTGGAGTCACTTGCCTACATTATTGTTTTCACGCTGGCTTCTAAAGAAGTCGTGTTAGCTGGGCACAGTGGCTCACGCCTGTAATCCCAGCACTTCGGGAGACCAAGGCCGGCTGATTGTCTGAGGTCAGGAGTTCGAGACCAGCCCAGCCAACATGGTGAAACCCGTCTCCACAGAAAGTACAAAAATTAGCCGGATGTGGTGGTGGGCACCTGTATTTCCAGCTACTCAGGAGGCTGAGGTGGGAGAATCGCTTGAATCCGGGAGGCGGAGGTTGCAGTGAGATAGCTGAGATCACACCACTACACTCCAGCCTGGGTGACAGAGCGAGACTCCATCTCAAAACAAATAAAGAAGGAAAGAAGTCGTGCTTATTCTGTCAGTCCCTAAGAAATCAACCTTGATTTTAGTAGACATTGGAAGGCTGCAGAGCTCCTGAAAGCCCAGCCGTGAACCCAGGCTCTGCGGAGGCCTTTCCTTCTCCTCTGGCTTCAGGTGAGAAGTCGTCTGGCCCAGCGGTCCCTGGGCCTCAGCATGAAGGCTGGGGAGCTAAGCGAGGAGTTTGGTGCCTTTCTTGAAGAGGAGTCTATGAATAGATCCTATTTTGTAGCATCCGGGAGGAGCCGGTCCATCTATAAAAACCTCGATAATCGTGCCTCGTTTCCTGCTTTCACTGCGTGCCATGCCCTCGGTGATTAGCGTGTTTTTCAGACTAACAGCAACAGTATGTTGAACTGAATGCCACCTCCTGGGTAAAATGATCAATCTCTTTGACTTCTGCAGTAAACACGTTCCATCAGGGGGTCACTAATATGCTTTTATGACCTCACTGTCGGAGATGATACCATTACCAAGCTTGATAAACCATTCTTCAGAGGCTTGCTTTTAATTTTATTTTTTATGCAATCATGGGGACTATAACCAATAAATTTAGCTCGATGCTTTCTCACTATTAACTAATTCTGAAGAAGCCCTCGGGGGTTCGTCAGGCACAAATCCTTCAAAGAATTTGTACAGGATATTGGAAATGATATTCACCCGGGGACAGAGGTTTAAGCCCGAGCTGCTACTGTTTTCTTTGCCATTAGAGTTACAACTTGGCTAAATGTCATTTAGTCAAAATGCTGGATTCTGCAGGATTTGCAGATAGGCTTGACTATTTGTCTTTAATAAATTCATTGACTCACAGAAGAGGTATTAGATTATTTGTTTGAGAAAAGGATGTGTAAGTGGCACCAGACTGCTGATGTGCAGTTTCTCATTAGGTCCGTGCAGGCTCAAAAGTGCTCAAATCCAAATTAAGCTCCAGAGCCTTTTTGGAAAACATTGTAACAGCTGCGAAATGGAAAGGGGAATTCAGATGAGAGCCTGGCTAGGGATCTTATCTTAAAGGGGCATCAGCTAAAGCCATGTCTGTGGTACAAAACCATGGGCCTGGCTATTTTCTTCTTTCTTTATGTCAAGGAGGGAGCTTCTTAAAATTATGCTTTAATGCTTGCATTGCTTCTGAGGTTCTGACGTCTTAAAATCCCATTTGCTTCCCTTTCTTTTTCTCTTTCTTTCTTTTCTTTCTTCTTTCTTTTTTCTCTTTCTTTCTTTTCTCTCTCTTCTCTCTCTCTCACTCTTTCTTTCTTTCTCTTTCTCTCTCTCTCTCTTTTCTTTCTTTCTCTCTTTCTTTCTTTCTTTCTTTCTTTCTTTCTTTCTTTCTTTCTTTCTTTCTTTCTTTCTTTTTCTTTCTTTCTTTTTCTTTCTTTCTTTCAACAAGATCTCGCTCTGTTGCCCAGGCTGGAGTGCAGTGGCACAATCTCGGCTCACTGCAGCCTTGAGCTCCTGGGCTTAAGTGATTCTCCTGTCTCAGCTTCATGAGTAGCTGGAATGACAGCTGCGTGCCATGATATTCAGCAAATTTTTTGACATTTCTTTAGAGTTGGGGTCTCACTATGTTGCCCAGGCTTGTCTCGAACTCCTGAGCTCAAGCAATCCTCCCTCCTCAGCATCCCAAAGTGTTGGGATGACAAGGGTGAGCCACTGTGCAGGCACCAGAAGTGATTTCTGGCTGTTGTTTTCAACCACTGAGGACACCCATTGCCGAATGATTATTTTCAAACCAAAGCTAAAATTTGAAAGGTGTCTTAAACTAACTGTGGGAATCATTTCTTGGTTGAATTTCATATGCATACATCTATCTGGAGACCTTGGAGATGAAGGATAGAATCAATGACACCTTAGAGTCCTTTGTGATTCTATTGTAATTATCGTAATTACTGTGAATCTCAGACTAATGACTCCCCCACCCCCTACAGTCCCTTCTTCACTGGAATCTAGCCCAAAGCCAGGCTAGAACACTGAAAGCTTTTGCCACAAAACCAGTAATCATCAAATACCATTATAGATGGAACTCTCAATTCCAAAGCTCTCTCTGTCTCTCTCTCTTTCTTTCTTGACGCTGTCACCCAGGCTGGAGTGCACTGGAATGATCATGGCTCACTGCAGCCTCAACCTTCTGGCTCGAGTGATCCTACCACCTCAGCCTCCTGAGTAGCTGGGACTATAGGTGCATGCTACCATGTCCGGCTAATTTTTTAAATTATTTCGTAGAGATGGGGTTTTGCCACATGGGCCAGGCTGGTCTTGAACTCCTGGGCTCAAGCCTTGGCCTCCTAAAATGCTGGGATTACAGATGTGGCCACCGGGCCTGGCTCCTGTTCTATTGCTTGTTTTGATCCATTTATTTTTGTGCTGCTGGGGTGGGTGGGCGTATCGGGTGGATGCACTTATAATATTGTTAAAAGCTAAGGTGAAGTGCTATGTTCAACGGATAGATTATGTATCAGAATGCCTTTTTTGTTAAAGCAATACATATTTATTGAACACCTACCCCATGGTGGGCTTTGATCTCATGCCTGGAATTCAACAGTAAACAGAAAAGGGGGACTCTCTTTCTTCAGGTAGCTCCTATTCCAGTGAGGGGAGACATGTGTGGGATGTGCCAAGGGGAGAGAAGTTACATGGAGAACAGAAAAGCAAAGTCAACGAGGTAGGGATTCCTGTGGAATGGGGGGTGGGGGCAGTGTCAACATTTGATGCTACATCTGTGAGCCCGGTCTGAAAGGAGTGAAGAATCAGCCGAGGAAGGATTGGCTGAGCACACATATGAGCCATTAATGCCACTACACTGGATACCAAGACATGGAGCTGTCTACACTGGATACCAAGATCTTGATGGTGTCTACACTGGACACCAAGACGTCGATACTGTCCACACTAGATACCAAGACTTTGATACTGTCTACACTGGATACCAAGACATGGATGCTGTCTACATTGCATACCAAGATGTTAATGCTGTCTACACTGGACACCAAGACGTCAATGCTGTCTACACTGGATACTAAGACATCGATGCTGTCTACATTAGATACCAAGACTTTGATACTGTCTACACTGGATACCAAGACATGGATGCTGTCTACACTGGATACCAAGAAGTTTATGCTGTCTATACTAGATACCAAGACTTTGATGCTGTCTACATTGGATACTAAGACATGGATGCTGTCTACATTGGATACCAAGAGGTCAATGCTGTCTACACTGGATGTCAAGACATGGATGCTGTCTACACTGTATACCAAGATGTTGATGCTGTCTACACTGGACACCAAGATGTCAATGCTGTCTACACTGGACAACAAGACATCGATGCTGTCCACACTAGATACCAAGACTTTGATACTGTCTACACTGGATACCAACATATGGATGGTGTCTACACTGCATACCAAGGTGTTGATGCTGTCTACACTGGACACCAAGACGTTGATGCTTCTACACTGGATACTAAGATGTCAATGCTGTCTACACTGGATACCAAGACATTGATGCTGCTATGCTGGATACCAAGATGCTGATACTGTCTACACTGGATACCAAGATGCTGATGCTGCTACACTGGATACCAATACATCAATTAAGTCTACACTGGATACCAAGACTTTGATGCTGTCTACACTGGATACCAAGATGGGTGTTTCACGTTGGCCATCTAATCCTCAAAGCAACAGAATGAGGTCAGTATCATCATATGCATTTCCTAGATGAGAAGGCTGAAGTCCAAAGAGTGGAAGCTATTTCCAAATAAATCCAAGTCTCATGACATGGAGAAGAGCTGGGATGCAAATTCAAGAGCACATGATTCTGAAGCAAATTATTTCCCTCCAAGTTTCTGCTCTCATTGCCAGACAACACCTTCTCAGGGGTCATAGCTTCAGCCACAAGCAAGGTGTGTGGACATTGGAAGAGTTGTTTGTCCCCCAGGGATGTGGAGCAGGTGCTCTTACGTGTCCCAGTGAGATGCAGGAGCTGTGTGCTGATCTTGTCATGCCAGGGACACATCTGGAGTCTGTGCTGGGCTCACCCCACGTCTGCCACCAGCCTTTCGCACAGCAGGAAATCAACAACGACTTGGTAAAGACAATGGGCTCTGCCAAGCTGCTTACTTTAAAGTTCACCTGACACATTTACACTCAGGGAGAGTGACGATGTCTGGAGAGCGAACGTGAAGAATGAAGACTACAGCTGATGACATTGCATACTGAAAATCTGCCAAGAGAGTAGATTCTAGTGCTCCTACCACATCCACACTGAATGGTAACTTTGGAAGGTGATGGGCATGTTGATTTGTTTGACTGTAGTGTTCATTTCACTATTTGTATGTATATCAAAACATCGTGTTGTACACCTTAGATATATACAATAACAGTAAATAAAAAAATTACCAGAATGTTCACTAGTTCCAAGAAACCTATTTTAATCTTGAGCTGCCAGAAACCCATAGCCCATACATTAATGACAAAGCGTAACTAGAAACGCTCCTTGAAGACCCTCAGTGACAAGGCTGGCTATGACGGGATGACCGCCACCATCAGGCCTGTTTCCTGAAGCCGGCAGCGCCCTGCAGCCGACTCTGGCAGGAGGGCACTCTGGAGTGTGTGGCTAGCGATGACGGCCGTCCTCCGTGGCTCAGGATCCTCTTCTTGCCTGTGTGGAGTTCATGGCTCTGTTCTGGCTCTGGTGCTCCCACCATGGTTCTAGCCAGGAGTCTCTCATGATGGAGCGCGCTGGGAAGGGCTACTCTGGGGTGGAATTATCCAGACACACGGCAGTGCTGGGGTTCCAGGGCAGCCCTGAGGAGAGGGGCAGGGGTTCTGCAACCCCTCTGCCCAGGTGCATGCTCAGAAGCTCAGCGCCTGTGTGGAGGGACTCAGTGTCAGGAACAACCAGGGATTTGCTGGAGAAGGAGAAGCTCTGGGCCGGTAGAGTTGGATCACAGCTAATCATGCTGGCTTGAAGTGATAGCCGGTGAATGCTTGTCTATCACCTTTCTGGCGCCTCTTACTGTTCAACTCTCCATTTTCTGAGCTCTGTTTACCCTGTTCTATCTAAAACACTTAAATTTGTTCTAAATGAAGCTGTGTATAAACAAAATAACAAAAATACAGCCGGGGGCAATGGCTCATGCTTGTAATCCCAGCATTGTGGGATGCTGAGGCAGGAGGATCACTTGAGCTCAGGAGTTAGAGACCAGTCTGGGCAACATAGCGAGACCCTGTCTCTACTAAAAACAAACAAAAAATTAGCCAGGCAAATCGCTTGAGCCTGTGAGATCGAGGCAGCAGTGAGCTAGATAGCTCTCTGCACTCCAGAGTTGGGTGACAGTGTGAGACGCTGTCTCAAAATATATATATATATATATGTATATTATATAAAATAACAAAAATACATAAATATATAAAAATATACTTGATATTGCTGATACAGAGGACTCCTGAATGTTCAGAAGGACGGCTCTGACGCTTTGGGACAGTAGTCGGGGAATCAGTAAACCACACACTTCCACGGCCCTCAATTTCAGGGTAACAGCCGTCAGTTCTCCACTGCTTCTCAATTATTTGAACAATAAATGAATTTTGAATTTTAATGTTTCTCAGTGACCATGTGGTACTGAGTATGTTTTTTGATGCCCATTATCTGGGATGTATTTTCCTCCTACCTCCTCCCTCAGTGGGGCTCGTTTCTGGCTGCCCCCACACAGTCTGATAGAACTTGGTTCCCTCCAGATGTGTCCAGATCTGGGATGTCCTGCACAGCGGCCCCTGGCCTCCTATGGCCTTGGAGTGCTTGAAATGTGGCTGCCGAGACAGAGGAACTGAATTTTAAGTTGTATTTAATTTTGATTGAATTAGAGTTGTCACCTGTGGCAGATGGCTACTGCACTGGACCGCCACCCAAGAAGCTTAAAATCCCAGGACACTCAAATGTGGGTGGGTTTTGTGTTGTGAGAACAAGAAATCCTTTATGAAGAGGTTTTTACACCTTGCCAAGTACATGGAAAATTATGCAATTTGGCCACGTTGCAGGATGGAGTGGAGCCCTCTGTGCTCACGGCAAGACCAGCAGTGGAGCGTAGGGTTTGAGCACTCTGTGAATTCTCGTCATGACCACAGTAGAGAAAGGACACAGAAAAGGGGCGAAAGAGACAGTAAAATGGAAAGGCACACTGTGAACAGGCGTTTACACTGGAAGGCCTTTGTTTTATAGCTGAAAACGAAATCTACTGGCCAAGTTCAATTTAAATTTTAGCTGGAGGCTTTGCAGAAGACCTGTTGCAGCAGCGATAGTGCAACATCATTAACAAAAAAAGAACAAAATTGGAGAGGAAAACTATGGAATAGCCAGGAAGCAGACTGAATGTCAGCCTCAATGAGGCCAGAAGAAGCCTCAACGAGGCCACAGCAGCACAGAGCAGGGGCAGGCGGGCACACAGTGTGGCTCGTGCCTGGATCCCCCGCTGGGAACCTGGTGCCCGTTGGCTGGTGCACTGGGCCCTGACCCCCTGAGCCGACAGAGTCCAGGTGAGCACAGCACGTCTGTTTCCAGGTGGGAAACCCTCTGCCTGGCTGCCGCCGTGACCCAGTAGATCTGAGATCACAACCATTACAGCTTTCTGGGTGATGAGGGGGACATTCACACTGCAGAAGAGTAAGGACATCCCAGCAAGGTCATCCTGCAGCCAAGACCCAGGTCAGTTCTGGAGAAGCTGAAGGCGTGGGAAAACCCGCCAGCCTTGGGAGGCTCCCCAGGCCCCAGAGTGACCCCGTTCTTGGAGCACTGGTCCTTTGTCCCCACAGTGAGAGGGTGGACCCCATCACCTTCCACAGCTGTGCTGACACCTGCCCACCCACCCCTCAGCCAGAGTCACTTAGGTGGCCAAGGAAAAAGTAACTTCAGATCCCAAAGTGTTTCTTCCAGGCCCGGAAGGTGCAGGAAGCGGCCAGCCACTGATTGCCCGGCTGGCACCTGCAGCAATGATGCTATTCTCACTCAGCCGATTTGTGAGCAGATTTTTCTGATTCTTTGATTCTTCTTTGTGAGATTTAAGGAAAGCCTATGTGACAGTGCCACTATCACCTCTCCAAATTCTTGCTGTCTCCTCATGTCAACATGGAGTGTGCAGTGCTAAGATGTCTTCCACGGCTGGGCTTTGCCTCCATATCTGTGGGCAGGAGATCTGAGCCAGTGCCAGATGTGGACAAAACTCAAGTCAGAGCCCAGAGGACGGCCCTACTGTCAATCAGACCAGGGGTGCCCTGACCACACCCTCTTCCCAGAGGACGACCCTGCTGTGATACAGACCGGGGTGCTCTGACCCTCTGGCAGGCTCAAGGCCGGCCTCATTGCGGGCTGACCTTCCTTCCTCGTGTCCTGCAGCTGCGTCCCTTACCCTTACCCCAAATAAACCACCTTCCCTCCATCCTGACCCGAGGCCCTCTCCTTTCCCAGGACAATGGAGGCCGGCAGGTGAGCTCTGACAGGTGTGTTTAACAACCATGGGTGCAACAGAGGCGGCTTTCCCTGCTCCCTTTCCCGAGGTGCAGCTGGATTCAGAGCTTCCCACCTGCTTGTGACCAGCGTGCATTCTCGACATACACGCTTCAGACCAAATGTCTGCTTGTTCACCTGTGCGGGCTTTGTGTGGGCTGCTCTGTGCTATGCGGGCTGCTCTGTGCGGGCTGCTCTGTGCTGTGTGGGCTGCTCTGCTCTGTGCGGGCTGCTGTGTGCTGTGCGGGCTGCTCTGTGCTTGGGAAAATGAAGGTTGGCATGATTTCCTGCGGCAATGCCCTCCCGTTTTATGCCTTAATAAGGGCTAGAAAGAAAACATTTTCCTCGAGCTGCATGCGAATATCGCCCAAAGTGCAGCTCCCCGCGGAGGCCCCGTGCACCCTTCCAACTGTGATGCGACAGAGATGGGGGAAAATGAGTTAAAGTATGAGGATAATCGGTAAAGTGACACAAAAAGGTTGCAAATGGCCTCACTTGAAGCGTTTGTATTTTAAAGGTCTCAGGCAATGACAGCGCATGGAAGTTGGCTGGGTAGTTTATTCTAGACACGTGTGTTTGTGACTCAGCCTTTCACGTGCTGGGTTTTAGGAGTCATTATTCATCTGAAGTAGCAGAAAAGGGATGGCGTTTCCCCCACGCCGGCCAGTCCCTTCCCGGTTTTTCATCCGAGCACTTGCTGTGGGAGGAACATTTGATCCCAGCGGTCGTGGCGTCAGGCCGCCTGCTCACTGGAGGGAGGATTTCCATTAGAAAATTTCAAATTCAAAGTTGGAGGCAGCTGCACCGAGAGTGTGAGAGATAATGTCACCCAGACGTGGCCCCTGAAAGTAACTCTTGCATCGTGCCTTCCTTTTTTGGAAAAGGGCACTACCGTATGTGCTTAAATGGTGAATTGGACAGGAAGTGATTCAAATTCATTTTTTTCTCCTTCAGATCATTTAGGCAAATTAATATCCAATAGCACATATTTCTTGTCCTTCTTTATATTCTCACTAAAAGCAAAGCAAGGTAGAGACATCCTGGAATGCTGTAATCTTCTCTGGGGTAAAAGCAATTATGGAAACTGGTATTATCAGGAAAAAAGCTCTACTAGGTAGTAAGCCTAGAATTCCACTTGGAGGTTCAGTAAGTCAGCTCTTGATATGGCTGGGAAAGGATGGGAAAACTTGCTCTCTTTCGTATATTGGAACTTAAGTTTTTAAATTTCCTCTTTCCTTTTCTTATTTTCCTGGTCTGCCCCCACCAATGCCCACCAAGTGAATTTGCTAATGCCATGTGTCACCTCGCTTAATAATGAGGATTTTGTCAGAATACTTACACACGCAGCTTTCTGGGACACCATCCCAAGGTGGGGTGGACCCAGCGACTGTGAGAGTCCATTTTCATGAAGAATCCTGAAAAGAGCCTGCCCTGAGAATCACGAGATGGGATTTTGTCTTCGGTCGTATGATCAGCTAGCCAGGAAGTTACTTAATTTTACTAGTCTCTGCTTCCTCCTGTGAATCCCCAGGATAGGCACTCTGTGAGGAAAGGGGTTCCCAAGCCAGCCTTTCCCCGCAGCTCAGCCCCAAAGCACGGGACAGAGCCTTTGCATGGCAGGCGCTCACTAAAGATTCCTTGAGTGAATGAAAGGGGGCAAAATTCACATCCCTATCAGTCCCACATCACTCTGAAATAGGCCTTCTTAGTGGGGAGGTAAAAAGAATTTAAGCATAGAAAGACAGATGAGACAAAACAGGCGATATTTGTTACTTTGTACGTGAGAGGCCAACCCGTTAGAAAAGCAAGTGCTCCAGCAGCGAGAGCGATGGATCCGAAACTCCCCGATCAGATCAGAAGATACTGTGTTGGCCGCATGAGCTTCGGTCTCAGCCCTCTAAGTAGAAGCAGTGAAGTCAGAAAAAGTGAACTCAGAGCTGATCCACTCTACCACGTTCTCATGCCAGAACCCCCTGGATGACCTGTTCAATTCCCACACAAGCGATGACTTCTAGAGTTTCCAGGTGAATGCTCCCAATTTCCCTTCACAACTGTACCTGTTTGCCTTGGAATGCGTCTGCTTCATCTGTGGAAACGTAGCCTGTGAGGACGGAGCTCTGCACTCCAAGCTCCTGGAAACAATAACGTCCCTGGACCTCCCCAAGGGGTGTCAGATGGAGCCTTCCATGTAACATCTGCATGTAGTGTTGTCATACGCCTGCATTTCGTGTAATGTCTGCATGTGGTGTGGTCATATGCCTGCATTCCGTGTAACATCTGCACATGGTATTGTCATACACATGCATTCCGTGTAACATGTGCATGTGGTATTGCCATATGCAAGTATTCCGTGTAAAGTCTGTACACAAAGTGGTCATACGCATTCATTCCGTGTAATGTCTGCATGTGATATTGTCATACGCATGCATTCCTTGTAATGTCTGCATGTGGTGTGGTCATACGCCTATATTCCATGTAATGTCTGCATGTGGTGTGGTCATATGCATGCATTCCATGTAACGTCTGCCTGTGGTGTGGTCATACACATGCATTCCATGTAACATCTGCATGTGGTATTGTCATATGCATGTATTCCATGTAACATCTGTATATGGTGTGGTCATACGCATGCATTCCACGTAACGTCTGCATGTGGTGTGGTCATATGCCTGCATTCCATGTAACGTCTGCACATGGTATGGTCATACACACGCATTCTGTGTAATGTGTGCATGTGGTATTGCCATATGCATGTATTCCATGTAACGTCTGTACACGGTGTGGTCATACGCATTCATTCCGTGTAATGTCTGCATGTGATATTGTCATACGCATGCATTCCTTATAACGTCTGCATGTGGTGTGGTCATACGCCTATATTCCATGTAACGTCTGCATGTGGTGTGGTCACATGCATGCATTCCATGTAACGTCTGCATGTGGTGTGGTCATACACATGCATTCCATGTAACATCTGCATGTGGTATTGTCATATGCATGTATTCCGTGTAACATCTGTACATGGTGTGGTCATACACATGCATTCTGTGTAACGACTGCAGGTGGTGTGGTCATATGCATGCGTTTGTGTAGTGTCTGTATGTTGGTATTGTCATATGAATGCATTCTGTGTAACATCCACATGTGGTGTCATATGCTTGCATCGTAGGGGCCTACTTTTGTGTCTGAGGAGCTCCCTGAAGGACCCTGCAGCTGGGCCAGCAGAGAGCCATCATCCCCGGTGCCCTACTGTGGTTCAGGTGGTGTGGAACGGAGGTGTGGTGCTCTCTGTCAGCCCCGGGCCCTACCTTTGGGTCCGTTTGACTTCTCTGTTGCTGTGATGCCCATATTATCAGAACATGAAAAAGTCATTCCACTCAGGATTTGGGACTGGCCATGGCACAGTTAGCAAAACCAATGGCCTGAGGGTTTTTCACCCTGCATCATGGATCTTGTAACTCTTACCTCCCTTCGCCCTGCATGGATCTTGTAACTCTTACCTCCCTTTGCCCTGCATGGATCTTGTAACTCTTACCTCCCTCTGATTCCTTGAAACAGTAACCATAGAGTATTCAAATAATTGCCATGTAGGCTGCCTTCTGCCAACTGGAAATGTCTTTTCAGAAGCTCACACACCCTGGGCAAATCCTTTCCTCTAGAATGAGTCCCTTGCTGTCCCTACCTGGGAATTCCACTTCAGAAGAGGCTCTACTGAGCACTTGGGAAAAGCTCGCATTGGCATATTTGCTAGTGTTTTCCATAAAACCAAAACGTTTAAGTAGAATAAATATCCAACAAAAACTAAATTAAGTGTATCCATACACAGGAGCATATGCGGTTTTAACTTGGTAGCACATTTGCTTACAGATTTTCATATAATACATTGTTAGGTTAAAAATCCAGTTTCTGACTGAACCATATGCATCATATGACCCTGTTTTTGTAATAAAACTGTATTTATATTTACAGTTTGCAAATGTCTATGTATGTATGTGTATAAAAATATATCTGGAAGGACACAAATCAAAATTGAAGAAGCACTTATATCTGGCTGGTGGGGTTATGAGTGACTTTTCACTTTCATTTTTAATATCTGTCTGAATTCTCTAGACTTTTACCATGGCCATACTTTATATTTTTTAAAACACACACATGAAAAGCTAAACTTAGGGAAGAAAGAACAATGAGTCAGACTTTCCCATCTGACATCTGATGATAACTAAATCATTTAGGCCAATTAATTAATAGATGTAGGGAACATTTGCTAATCACCAAACTTGCATTACTTTTTGACATTTCAATACAAAGTGGCAAGAACCACATTGCTTAGTTTGTCTGCTGTTTGGCCAAAATGGCTAGACTAAAAATCTGAGTTAAGGTCATTCTGTGTGCATTTTTGGCTAATATGTATCACCTCCTATGATAAGAAAATTATGGAAAAATTACTTCACACATTTCCTGGGTGGTGGGCACTGAGGCTTCTCAGAGAACACTATTTTCTACACATGTTGATATCAAATGATATTTGAATATTTACTACATATGTAGCATTGAGATGCAAGCTTTTCAGATGGTTCCTGGACCTTTTTCATTTCTGAGAATAAGACCTCGATTTACGCAGAAATGTTTAATTTGACAGAATACATTTCAGAAACGTCAAATGGGTTAGTCTAGGTCCAGCCCCACTGTCATCCTGAAGTTTTCTTCTTTGAGTTCAGGATCACTTGGAATAGACCCTGAGGCTGCCCTTCAGGGACTCGGAATTAATACTCCCATGTGCTCAGCAAGTACAGGCGGCCCGGAGTCGGGTGAGGTGGCTGTAAAAACTCTGTATTAGTCGTAGAAACTGCATGTTTAAAAGCTGCCACAAGTTCTGTTTATGACGGGCATGGCATTACTCCCCCAACCATAGATGAGTTGGGTCCCAGGCATCTCGGGTGACAATAGAATGTAGTGGTTAAAAGCAAGTCTTTGAAGCCCAATGGACTCAGGTGTGGATTCGGACTCAGCTCCTAACCACCTGTACTGTCTTAGACATTTAAAACCTCGCTTCAGTCTTTTATATACATATTCCCTATGTAAACCAAAAATAACATTCTAAGGCCCCCTAAGCTTCTGAATGCACTTCCTCCCCAGCCAGGGCTCTTTTAAAATTTAACCTGAGAGACTGTTTGAGGCAATGTTGGGAAGTCGGGGTCAGACATGCCTCATGATGCCTCTCCGGCATTAACAGCAACACAGACCTTAAGTCTGATAAGAAACATTTACAGCCTCTTCTCTCTGAAGCCTGCTACCTGGAGGCTTCATCTGCATGATAAAACTTCGATCTCCACCAACTCTTATTGCAACCCAGATGTTTCTTTCTGTTGATTCCAGGACTTTGGACAAATTCAACCAATTGTCAAACAGAAAATGCTTAAATCTATCTATAAGCTGGAAGGGGCACCCCCCCATCCACCCCCCACTACCCCCAACCCCTTCCCTGCTTCAAGTTTTTCCACCTTTCTGGACCAAATCAATGTATTTCTTAAATGTATTTGATTGAAGTCTCATAGCTCCCTAGAATATATAAAACCAAGCTGCGCCCCGACCACCTTGGACACATGTTCTCAGGATCTCCTGAGGGCTGTGTCGTGGGCCGGGTCACCCATATTTGGCTCGGAATAAATCTCTTCAAATATTTTACAGAGTTGGACTCTTTTCATTGACACTTAGTTAAACATGTCTACTCCACAAGATTGTTACGAAAAATGAAAGGAATTTCTGATAACCACACAATTGTCAGGAGCAAGGGAAACATTCTGTGAATGGTAATCATCATTATTTTAGTGTTGAGACCCTGCCTTTGTGATATTGTCAGAGTTGCTAAAATACATGGCTACCTCTCAGTTCTCAGAGAGCCTCACGTTTGAAGTAGCTGCTAGTAACAGAGGTTGTCTTCATATAACCAGATAGACAGGGATCAGAGACAATTGATCTCTGGCCTCACAAACTATAGGAATCTGAGAGAAAAAGCCACAGGACACTGCCTCTAAGAGGGGGAGGTGGAAGGCAGGAAAATTCGCTGTGGGGTGTCTGATGCCTGAGAGTCAGAGGGCAGTAAAACAAAGGGTGGCTGAAGGCCTTTCCTGCAAACCAGAAACCAGTGTCCCCAGCTAGCCATGGTGTAAACCCCGACTCCCAGGAAGGTCCAGGCCCAGATGCCACCTTCTGTCTGTGATGAGGACGAGGACAACGTCTCCACTTTTGCATGTTCCAGCTCCTTCTGTCACTCAGTGTGTGTGTCAGGTGGTCCAGTATGTACTAGGGACTCTTACAGACACATGCCAACCCTACACATGTCCCTCTTCTCAGCAATCATTCCTCTCCTTCTTCCTTTGCCCGTTTATACGTTAGTTATTGAACTCGTGGATCTTAGCCCCATTTTTCAGTAGCCTCTAAAGACTGTTGCACTTCTACTTCTCAGAATACTTCCGAGGTCCTCAGAGGACAGCGTGCCTGCAGCTCAGGCCAGGCCCCTTCATGCTGGGCTCCAAGCTCACCATGGCTCCTAACCAGACACCTTGTTTGTGCCGCTCCAGTCCCCATGGCAGGAGCGACTCCTCTCTCTCACCAGTGCGAGGATCACAATGTTATTGCTTATAAAGCCCTTAAGCTCTCTTTCAGGTGAGTTTCAAATCGTTATCTCCTTACACCCAGCAGACAGATGTGAGTCCGCTGCTTGGTGACATCATCCTTTTGTTAGAAGAGCACCGACTCACGTTTCTATAGCAAATCGATAACACTATGTGACAAATCCAAAATCGACAATGGCTATTTCTTAGCTTTAGGTTTTATTTTTCTTCAGAGAGAAACAAGTATGGCAAATATCTGTGAATTTCTGTTTAATCTGATGACAAATTAATTAATAATGATAACAAATGGTTATCTACTTAGATATGTAACGTAGGCAGTGGAAGTAATATTTTATCCGAACATTAGAACCAAGATTTTGTGTAAGTGCAAGAGGACATAGTCTCCACCCCACTGTGTTACAGATCAGGAAGTTGGAGGTGGCTCGGTTACAGGGTTAAGTTACATGCACGTCACGCAGCCCTGAGCTGGGGAAACCAAGAACAAAGCCCCTATGCTTGCTGGGCCATCCCACCCCCTCACATTAGATTTGCTTAAAGAACCTGCCAGAGGCTTCGTCTGGAATAGCACCTCGGTCTCATTCATCTCTATCACGAGTTTCTGCATTTTGACCATGAGCCTGTTCCAACATTTCAGATTCTCCACTCATCATTAAAATAACTTTATTCCAACCTTGCAGCTTCCAAATTAATACTGACTCTTTCCTTATCAGAAACAAGCAATGATTTAGAGTATCACTGAAATAAAATCAAAATGTTTTACCTTGAGGCTTAATTCTCTCTAAAATCTAGTCAGATGCTCCCCATCCCAGTTTCACCATTATATCAGCACAAATCTTGAACATTTCATTTTCTAATCTGTCATCCTTTTAATCTCCTATTTTATAAATGCTCTTTTCTGTATAAATGGCCTGCATATTATAAACAGTATTGAATAGCTTGTTTCTTTCTCTAATCAACCTGATCTGTCTACTCAATATCCACCCATGCATCCATCCATCCATCCATCCATCTACTCATTCATTCACCTATTCATTTTTTAATTAAGCATTTCATTAATTTATTCAGCACTTACTATATTCTAGACAGTATCCTGGGGATATGAAGATAGATAGATAGATAGATAGATAGATAGATAGATAGATAGATTAGAGAGAGAGAGAATAGATGATAGGTAGATAATTCTTTGTCACTATCTTTAAGGTACACAAAATTTTGTAGGAGAGTCTGAGACATACAAACTTCTTATAATACAATGAATGTATTTGGTGCAATAGAGCAAAAATAGGGTCAGGACTTTATGACTACTAAGCCTCACAGGTGTTTTGATGCCTATGGAATCACCACATATAAGTCCCACTAATTCAGTCGCCATTTGTGACTAACGTGTCCAATACTCAGTAGGAAAGATATAAAAGAAAATAATTAGAGTTCCTTAATATCTCTTTGGTCCACCAGCAGGCATCCATGTTTGTGATCTTCTGGGCAATTTTCAGACCTGCTGGCATCACAAGTTCCTCCAACCAGACTTGGATAATGGGTCAATCAGCAAGAAGCACTTTTCCTGAGCCCAAGTTCTAAAACCTCCACAGCAACAGCCCTAATGAAAAATGTAGTATCTCCCACTTCTCCTTTCTATTGCCTTTTTGTTTGGTTTTCACAGGAATCTATTTCTGAGTGTTTGCTGTAGGCAGACACTTTCCTCATCTCCACCTTTGATTACGAGAACAGCACAGCCCGGTGGCTGCCCGGGGGGAGGTGGTAGGCAGGGTCAGAGTGCACACGCGCGTGTGTTCATGTGTGCTGTGTACAGGTGCTGTGAGGGTCCAGGAACTGCTGGCTATCACAGTGAGCGGTGACACAAAGGCCTGTAATTCTATGTTGAGAATAATATTTCCAGCCTAGAACTAGCAGTCTGGCTGGAATGAAATACACAGAAAATAGTCAGGATAGTCCAATCTATGTCTGAGCCTCCAGATTTAAAGATAGTTTATATCCACAAATACATACTGCTATGTCTTTTTACCTTTCCATTTTCACAGCTAGCTGCCAATTTAAGTAAGCATCCTTGCTTTAGTTAAGGGCTTTAGTAATAAAATAATAATAATAACTTCACGAACAGGAAGAGATTCTATAAATCCTGAGTTTCATGCCAGGAAACCACCCCAGAAAACACTTTTTGTACTAATAGCTGTAA